>NC_000004.12:80739562-80891077 GCF_000001405.40 Homo sapiens
AGTTCCATTATATGTTATTTGTTTCTTTTCTCTTGCTAATTTTAGGTTCCTTTATTCATCCTAGATCTTCAAAGTTTGATTAAGTCCCCTGACATAGTCTTCTTTGGGTTAAATCTGTGTGGTGTTTCTATAAGCTTCTTGTCCTTAAATGTTGATATCTTTCTCTAGGTTAGAGAAGTTCTCTGTTATCCTTTAAAAAAAAACTTTCTACCCCTATCTCTTTCTCTCCTCATTAAGGCCAGGAACTCTTAGATTTGCACCTTTAGATCTTGTAGGTGTGCTTCTTTGTTTTTTATTCTTTTTTCTTTTGTCTCCTCTGTGTATTTTAAAATATCCTTTATTCAAGCTATTTTTCTCTTCTGCTTATTCAATTCTATTAAAATACTGATGCATTCTTCATCATGTCATTTGCATTTTTAAACTCTAACATTTCTGCTTTTTTCTCTTTATTTAATTTCTTTGTTACATTTATCTAATAGCATTCTGAATTCCTTCTCTGTGTTATCTTGAATTTCTTTAAGCTTCCTCAAGACAGCTATTTTGAATTTTCTGTCTGAAAGGTCATATAACTCCATTTCTCCAAGATTGTTCCCTGTTAGCTTATTTAGTTCATTTGGTGAGGCCATGTTTTTCTGTATGGTGTTGACACTTGTAAATGTTTGTTGGTGTCTGGAAATTGAAAAGTTAGGTATTTGTTTTAGTCTTTGCTGTCTGAGCTTGTTTGTTTCTGTCCTTCTTAGGAAGGCTTTCCAGGTATTTGAAGCTACTTGGGCTCCAAACCCAATAACACTATGAGTTTTGCTGACTCGCAGAGATACTGCTTTGGTGGTCTTGGATAAGATCTGGAAGAATTCTCTGGATTACCAGGCAGAGACTCTTGTTCTTTTCCCTTACTTTCTCCCAAAGGAACATAATCTCTCTGTGTGTGCTGATTCACCTGGAACTGGGCATGTGATGATGCAAGTACCCTGTGGCCATCACCACTGGGACTGCACTGGGTCAGACATGAAGTCAGATGAATACTGGGCCTTGCCAAGACCCTGCACTTCAGGGTAGTGAGTTCCCACAGGCCCTGGACATGTCCAGAGATGCTCGTTAGGAGCCAGGAATTGGAGTTAAAAATCTTAGTCATTTACCTGTTGTTCTATTCTGCTGTGGCTAGGCTGGCATACAAACGACAATGCAAAGTCTTTCCTGCTCTTCCCTCCCCTTTCCAAAGGGTGGCCTTTCCTGGTATAAGCCTCTCCTGGTGGTCATTACCACCACCAGTCCATGGAGGGTTCCACCAGGCCACCACCGATGTTTACTTAAAGCCAAGAGCTCTTCCATCAGCTTGTGGCGAATGCTGCCAGGCGTGGGACCCACCCTTCAGGGCTGTCAGGTCCCCTCTGGCCTAGCAGAGGTCCAAAAGTGCTCTCCAAGAGCCTAGACCTGGATTTGGTGACCCCAAGAGCTTGCTTGTTGCTCTACCTGACTATGGCCTGGGTGATATCCAAGGTGCAAGACAAAATCCCCTTTACTTTTCCCTCTGCTTTTTTCAAACAGAAGGAGTCTCTCACTGCAGCCACCACAGTTTTGAATTTACTGTTTCACTCCTGAACAGAGCATGTCTCAGGGTCTATGGTCCACAGCATTCCCTGGGTAATCACTGTTGGTTATTCAGGGACAAGTGTTTTGTTTTTTGTTTCATTTTGTTTTGTTTTTGAGATGGAGTCTTGCTCTGTCGCCCAGGCTGGAGTGCAGTGGCATGATCTCAGCTCACTGCAACCTCCACCTCCTGGGTTCAAGCAATTCTACCGCCTCAGCCTCCCAGACAAGGGTTCTTTAGTCAGCGGGTGATGAATGCTGCAAGGACTGAGTCCCTCCCTTTAAGGTAGTGGGTTCTCACTTGGCCCACAGTGTGTCTTCGAATGCCATCTGGGAGCTAGGGCCTGGAATGGGGGCCTCATGACTCTGCCTGGTGCTGTATCCTACTGTGGCTGAGCTGGTATCCAAGATGCAAGACAAAGTCCTCTTTACTCTTTGCTCTCCTCTTTCTAATCAGAAGGAAGGAGTCACTTTAATTGCATGAGATATACTGCCTTGGGTTGGGGGGAGGGATGGTGCAAGTATTCCCTTAGCCATGCCAGCTAATGTCTCCCTGGGTCACGTGCTACCCTAGTCCACTTGTTCTAAGCCAGTGTAGCACAAGGAATTGCCTAGAAATTGTAGTCCTTGTGTCCTAGACTGCCTTTCCAGTTTACCTAAGAGACCAGAGCAATTCAGCCTGTGGCGGTGAGGCTTGCTGGAAACTCAAGTTCCAACCACTGGGATGGATGATTCCTGTCTGGCTAGGGCTGATCCCAATGCTCCCTCCTTGTAAGGGCACTGCCTGAGCCCAGAACAGCTTTATTCTCTAGTATGATAGGGCAGCACTGAGTTCAATGTAAAGACCCCCATTTGCTGTGCTCTCCATCCCAAAAGTACACTGATTATCTCTCTGCCCTGCATGACTACTGTGGGAGAGATGGGGGAAGGGTCACTTCAAGGATTCAAGACTCTCTCTCCTGCCCTCCTCAATGACTCTTTCAGTGATATGCAGTTAAAATCAGGTACTGTTATTGCTCATGTGATTTTGTATTCTAGTGATGGTGCTTTTCTGTGTGCAGATACTTGTTAAAATTTGATATTCCAGCAGGGAATATAAACAGTATAGCCTTCTATTCTACCATCTTGTTTATGCCCCTGTCTCCCACCCCTTATTAAATAGCATTCTTATAGAAAAAACAAGATACTATTACCTAATAAAAGACTTTACATTTATTTATTGATTTGCTTATTTGTTGCACAAATAATTTTTTAGTTTCTAATAAGTGCCAGGTACCATGCTAGTATTAGCTATAGCAGAATATAAAATAAATTCCTTGCCCTCACAGAGGTTATATTCCAGTAGTGAAAATAAGCCATAAAAATCTATCATAGATTGATTTAAGGGTTGGAGAGATTGATTATAGCAAGATAGAGAGACAGAATAATGTTAACCTTTAATAAGTGCTATGAAGAAAGCTGAGGGGTCAGATAATGGATGGGCTATTTTGCTAGGTTATAAGTGGAGAACTCTTTATGAGAATGATGATAATCAAAAGCTGACATTTTAAAAATAAAAATGAGATAATTTTTAAGATGATATGTCTTTACATGAGAGTGAGATGTAGAAGAGCAGCTTTGGATGTCCAGGAAAGCCAGAAAAGCTCAAAAGTGGAATGTTGATCTTAATTCAGTTGACATGTAGACACCCCCAGTGTCCTATTTTTGAAAGCTCAAAAAAACACAAATTTATCTCAGAAGTAGAGACAATGTTAGATCTTACAGTAAATGCAACTCACTTCAGCAATCCATTTGTCTCGATACTTCATGTTAAGAAAAGGTGATTCAGATATATATGTGGACAGGACTGTGTATGCAAAAAAATTTCTCCTAGAAAGTATTGTATCCGTTAACTTGGTTGCTCTAACTGCTTTTGTAGTTAACCTGATTGTGCAGCTAATTGTTCAAAAGTTGTACAAGTAGACCGGGCTCCGTGGCTCATGCCTGTAATAATCTCAGCACTTTGGGAGGCCAAGGTGGGTGGACCACCTGAGGTCAGGAGTTTGTGACCAGCCTGGCCAACATGGTGAAACCCTGTCTCTACTAAAAATACAAAAAGAAAAAAAAAAGTACTTGTTATTGCTAGACAATAACAAAAAAGTAGGAGGAAGAAAAATTTTAAGCATCATAGTAGATAAATTTACATTTGTATATATTATTTTCTGTAGATACATATATATACATACATACATACATCAAATATGATGTAACCACATATGATTTGTGGTTAGCTTTTGACATCTGATAAAATAGGAAATATATTTGATGGTGGTGATTAATATATGTGGATAAATGACTATAAATATAAAAATATTACATTGAATCTTAAATGCACAATATAGAATGACTTGGTTTTCACACACTAGTTTCTTGCTTTCTCAGTAAGGCTCTTGAAAAGAGACTACCATTCAGCTGTTCAGTGGTATTTGAGAATGAGTAGAATTGAAATCTATAAAATATGACTTCATTTGCCACATGTCAGAAGCCATAAAAGAAAATGCACTTATTAGGACAAATACCTAATGCATGCAGGGCTTAAAACCTAGATGATGGGTTGATAGGTGCAGTAAACCACCATGGCACATGTATACCTGTGTAACAAACCTGCACATTCTGCACATGTATCCCATACTTAAAGTAAAATTTAAAAAAAGAAAGAAAATGCATCTAAAGGTCTTTTCTGCCTACACATATAAAGTGATCTTTTTCATCATTTATAGTAAATACGATTGTTGCCAGATTATAAATATGGACCCAGGCTGTTCCTTGGGAGATTTACTTTAATGTGTTTGCAACTCTTTACAGATGTGAGTTTTCCACAAAGATAATATCTGTGTACTTTGCTGTAAACTATAGATTAGATTATTTCATTTATCTTTTAAAAGTATATAACATTACTTATGTAATTCATGTTCAATGGATTAAATTCATGATTTTCTATTTTTAAAAAGATAAAAGAGAAAAGGGTAGGAAAACGCTATGGCAGTTTCTTCATAATAGAAACTTGTCTCATTTTCAAGAAAGCAATATAATGAACTTAACAGATGTGCTGCCACTGCCTTTCCATTTCCTGGATGTCTTAGAAAGACTCCAAGGACAGCGTGCCTTCATCTCAAATTCTGATCAAGAGACCTGCTGTGCTTTATACCTTCATTTGCAGCTCTCCTCCAAACCTGATCAGCCAGCCCAGAAGTGTTTTTATGACTCACAAAAAAAGGTGGGGGTGGGAGGGAGGGGAATTATGGAAAATAAATGGATAGACACTCATCTTCACTTTTGAAAAATTCATGTACATTTTTTATTAATGTGGTTCAGCCCCAAAATTTGCATGTGAAGGGGTGACTTATTCTCTGCAGGTGAACACCTCCTCTCCTTTACCTTTTTTGATTTTCATCTTTTTTTTTTAAAGGTTGATCGCCGTGTTAATCCCTACTAATACACAAGCTCTACCCAGCGTACAAATTATTATTTAGGAATCATTTAAATAGTTGATAGGAAGTACATTGGTTTGCTAAGAATTTGACCACCTATTATAATAATGTCAAGCCTCAATTTTTCCTCAGCTTGAGAAAAAGAGTTCTATGACTTAAAAGAACCCAAATTACCTAGATGCACATCACTTTATTTTTAAAATGTTATGCAAAATGATATTTAACTGGGTGAAGAGGGAGACTTGGCCACCTTATATATATGACAGCAAATCTTCACACATGGTGGCTGCACATCACTTTGTTGTACAAGGTCCATACTCATGTTCTGTGATCCATCCAGATACTATGTGCCTTAGCCCATGTTGCAGTGAAATCTCAAAAAAAAATTTCTAATCTACTCTGTACACCCTCTGAAAGTCTTCAGATTTGTTACACACAGAATAAAGAAAAGAAAATTGATGTTTCACACACAAAAAATGATGATGTTTGAACGAGAAAGCAACATATTTTGAGAACTTACATATGTGAAGATCTTTCTTCGCTAGGCTTAATACCATTATCTCATTTCATCCTAATCTCAGTCGTGTGAATTACATATTGTTGTCTCCACTTTACACATGAGGAAACCAACTGAAACTAGTTAGGGAACTTCTGAAAAGCTATGTCTTGATGAAAGTATGAAACTAATGCCTTAGATTGTATAAAAATAATGTTACTAAAATGACCAGCAGACCAAATGGCATATGAACCAAACTTAATTAATTGAAGTTGCAGCTTGGAATGTTGCACATGGATATGATGCTCCAAATAAAATTGCATGCATTTCAGCTAAGTCTTTACCAAAAATATTGTATTTAGTTTGATAATTATGTTTAAAGGTCTTAGTAAAAACAAATTTCAGAGTAGTTTTTTTATATTTAAATAAACTTTTTATTTTAGAAAAGGTGTAGATTTACAGAAAATGTGTGAAGATAGCACAGTTTCCATATACCACAAATTCAGTTTATATTATTATTAATATCTTAATATGATACATTTGTCAGAATAATTGAACCAATATGGACTCATTAACTAAAGTACATACTTTATTTAGATTTCTGAAATTTTTACCTAAGGCTGTTTTTCTCTTCCCGGATCCCATCCAGGATACATCATTAAATTTAGTCATCATGTTGCTTTAGACACTCTACTTGGCTGTCATAGTTTCTCAGACTTTCCTTGCTTTTGAAAACCTTGACAGTTTTAAGGGGTACTAGTGAGGAAAGCTGGTCAGAACATCACCCAGTTGGGATTTGATGTTTTCATTTGTCTGACGTGTTTCTTGAGATAAGAAATTCCAAGAAATTCAATTTCTAATTCATTTGTTTCCTGTGGTCTTCTGGCTATCAGTCCCTTCTGGGTTCAGGTGATCAGGTGTAAAGTCTCCAAGGTACAAAGAATTTAGGACCTAGGGCTTTTCTATAGATAGAGAATTGGGAATATCATGAGAGGCAAAAGAGACCTATATTTGAGTCTTGTTTCAACCACTTATTAAATTTTTGGACATGGGCAAATAAATTAACCACCTAGACCCAGTTTATTCATAAGCCAAGGGCCACCTTCTACTTTAGAGAGTGTCGAAAGGATTTAAAGAAATGGAGCATGCTATGTTCCTGATACCTTTCCTTGACATAGTAAGCTATTAATAAGTAGTAGCTTTTTAAAACTATTATTACATACTATATATAAAGAATTGGGCACAAAGTAGACCTTAATAAAAATCTGTTATTAAAACTCAGTGATTTGAGAAGTAAGCCTACTTAGGTTGTGGAATATTTAATTTTGGAATATGTATTATCCTAAGGGAAGTAACATTTTGCATATGGTTTCACTAGAATGACATTATGGCTCTTTCTCTGAGTAAACAATCTATTCTGGTTTTGGAGCAGTCTCTCCTAGTTTGTTCATCAGATTTAAAGGTTGGTATGAATCAGGTTGACGTAACTTTTTTCAGGAGTAGAGATGGGTATGCTCCTTAGTGTTCTAGTTGCACCCTTGAGCAACTGACGATAAAAATGGCATTCACAGTCAAGCAATAGTTAATTCTATAGTGAAAATACTCTCATACTGGAGCAGACAGCTGTTTCCATATATTTCTATTTAAAAGGATAGTGAAAATAGTAAGAGATATTATATAATCTTATTTATAATGTGTTTTTCAGTTAATTTATGAAGAGCAACCTAATCAAGCTCATTCAAAGCTTGTGTGCACAGACTTGTCCATTAGAATAACTAACTAGAAACTAGAAAATGGTCTTCAGAATATGACCAGCTAGATAAGATTGGGAAATCATGATACTAAGGATTGGCCTTTGTATCCATAACTTAAAGTAACCAGAATAGGTTCAATGGAAATTGGGCTCTGAACCCAAGAAGAATTAGGCAAGGAGCCTAAAGGAAATGCAGTGTTCTCTGTTCTCCCTTCTGCTTTCTATTTAATTTGGTTTTGTAAGAAGTCTTGATTTATGAGACATTTTTAAATTTATTGTGTATGTGGTCTGTTGTTGACTAAAATGTCATTATGTGACACATGATTGTATAATAAATACATAAACCAGTGGCATAGTACTTTATTATCATTATGAAGTATTATGTACTGTATATAATTGTATGTAATATACTTTTATGTGACTGGCAGCACAGTAGGTTTGTTTACACCAGCATCGCCACAAACATGTGAGCAATACAGTGCACTATTATGGACACACTATCACTAAACAGGAGTATTTCAGCTTCATTATAATCTTGCAAGACCAACTTTGTGTATGCAGTTCAACATTGATTGAAATATTGTTATGTGGTGCATGAATGTATAAGAGAGTTATATAGTAGGATTCTGAAAACAATTTTGACTTTCCCTTCCCTGAAGACCTTGTGGTCAGCAACAGACATTGATGAGAATAAAGGTCCTGGTTTCCTTATTATTATTATTTGCATTGTTTACATTGTGATTCTCCATAATGTCTTGGTAGTACTCCACACACTTGACTACATAGTAGTTCATTATTATTGCCCTGGTCTTCCCTGACATAGCTAGTATTTACCTGATTTTCTTGGTATTTCTCAGGCTCTTTTGCCAAATGTTATGATATCTGACTTGAAATGGCAAATTTTATAGAGCTGTCTCCCCTAGACTTTCTTTTCTCACTGTTACTTCCTCTCAGGTGCTCTTATCAATATTCATGGCTTTACCTGTCATTTATATGCTGATGACTTACCTATTTATACTTTCAGATCAAACATCTTTCTGAATTACTGGTTTACTGTTTGTACTTTCCGATCAAACATCTTTCTGAATTCCTGATTTACAAACCCAATTGGCTAAGTAATATCTCTATTTAGATGTCTTACAGGTACCTGAAATCAAACATGTCCAAAAATGAACTCATGAACAACTCTCCAATGTTGTCTAGCCAGGTAAATCACACCACCATGTAGCCTCTAGTTTGAGTTAGGGTAATCATCCTTTATGCCCACCTTTTCTTTAGTATCCCTTATTTATTTTCAAATTTCTCAGAATGTATCCCTGTCATTAAGTAACACATGACTATATTTGTCTTGTTCAAGACTCTAAGTTATCGACAGATTGATAAATAGCCCTCTAATTAGTCCTCTTACTTTTATTCTTCAGCTTTAATTCACATTTAAGAGTTATCTATTGAGAATGGAAATATTAACTTATCATTCCCTTGCTTAAACCTTGAAATAATTTAACATGTCTTTAGGGTAATAAAAAAATTCATAATCTCCTAAAGTGGCTTAAATAATCAAACATGACTTAGTCCTTGCAGATTTCTCTAGCTTAATTCTTATCACTTTCCTAGATGAACATCTATTTTCCCTAATAGATTGCAAACATCATGAGAACATGCTATTTTTATGTTTTTGACACATAATACTGGTTCAAAACATTTTTATTGAATTGATATATTGTATCATGGTATTATTTTTCACTTCTCCATTTACACTGGAATATCACCTTTTTAGTTAGATGAATATCTCTTCTATTGTTTAGGAACTCACTCACATTCATAAAGTCCAGTCTTTATTTATTGTTTCTCTAAGGAGATTTCTCCTCATCAATATTATCTCTAAAATTCTGCCACTATTTGCTTATAGGTCTGGGACTGGCTTTGCCCTGACATAAAGATTATTTGTTCTGATCATTTGCCCACGTGTTCAGCCTGTGTATTGTTTGCCACACTGTGACAATTGACAGGGTTTATATTTTCTTGGCAAAAAGTTTGGAGTTCAATATTAAAAGTAATCGTCTGCCCACACATAATACAACAGTATGAATACCATAATGCTCTCTATTTACTCTCTGAACATCATTTTTTTCTCTGTACAGTGTGATAGGTTTTTTTCTCTTTACCTATTTCACATTCACTATTATATAGGCAGCATTTCTAGTATATCAGCATATCCTGAGATCTACTGTATGCATCATTAAAGAGAAAGAGAATATTCACCTGTATATTTTTAAACTTTTATTGAAGAGTTTGAGAATCATGAATAGTAATGCTGCATGTTGTTTGACATCTGGGATGCAGTACTGAGTATTAGGTGTAAAGCTTTGAAATCGACAGCCTGGATTTGAATCTTCATTATACCACCTAATAGCTGTTCCAGCTCCTTGACTTATTTTTGTCTTGGTTTCCTGTGTATAACATAAGAATTAAAAAAATTCATCTTATAGGACTGTTAAGAAGATTAAAAAAGAAAATACTTACATTAGTCTGGGTTCTCTAGAGGGACAGAACTCACAGAATATATGTACATATGAAAGGAAGTTTATTTAGGAAAATTGACTCACATATCACAAGGTGAAGTCCCACAATAGGCCATCTGCAAGTTGAGGAGCAAGGAAGCCAGTAGTGGATCAATCCAAGTCCCAAAACTTCAAAACTCAGGAAGCTGACAGTGCAGCCTTCAGTCTGTGGCCAAAGTGCCAAGAGCCACTGGCAAACCACTAATGTAAGTCCAAGAGTCCAAAAGCCGAAGAACTTAGAGTCTGACGTTTGAGGGCAGGAAGCATCCAGCACGGGAGAAAGATGAAGACCGGAAGACTCAGTGAGTCTACTCTCTCCATCTTCTTCTGCCTGCTTTATTCTAGCGACACTGGCAGCTGATTAGATAGTGCCTACGCAGATTGAGAGTGAGTCTGCCTCTCCCAGTCCACTGACTTAAATGTTAATCTCCTTTGGCAACACCCTCACAGACACACCCAAGAACAATACTTTGTATCCTTCAGTCCAGTTAAGTTGACAATATTAACCATCACAGTACTTATCATAGTACCTGATACTTGGTAAGTGAATTATAAATCTTAGCAATTATTAAAGTAAAGCTTGGGAAAATAAATCTTTCATTTGAAATTATTACTTCTACTTTAAATATATTCCAAACTATGACACAGGCCAATAATTTATTTTTCTTAATGTATGATTTTTAATGTAGTATAGTTTATGCAAATGTATGATAAATCATTCAAACTTTATAAAATGATATTATAATGAAAAGACAACCCCTGTAGAATTATCTTTGAAAATAATGTGAAAAAATAAAAAATAGCATTTAAAAAAATTTTAACTAATTTGATATATCTAGATATAAATTGCTAAGTGCTTGCTATACTTAAATAAGAAACTTCTACTTTTAATATTTGTGTCATTGTTAGACCTTGTGACATTCTGATATATCTTATTATATATAATTACTGGGTTTACAGATGAAATAATGCCATTATTGAGCTCACGACATGCATGGCAACACTGAAATATATGAACAAGAATCTTATATAATAGGAATCCACCTGTGGCTTTACAGTCTTGGAATCTAGCCATAAAGTTTCAACACCATTAAAAGTGCACCTGTCTATCAGATAAGAAAACATAGTGGTCATTAATTATAGAATTTATTTCATTATCAACTTGGCTTGAAACCAATCATTTTATTTACAGGACAGGCTTTGGGTTTGATTTAAATCATGTTGAATGCTGCAGCCCAGGTGTGAACTACCCTGTTAATGTCCTAGTTTGATCATGTGGTGAAGATATCAGATAAAAAATGTGCTTTGGATTTTGTGAGACTCTACTTAAATTATTCTTCAAGAAAGACAAAATCATAAAGCATGTTGCAAGTTAGTATCATGTTTAGAGTTTCAGGAGTTGTGAACTTTTTGTCAACTTGTAACAGAGACCTGAGAAATGAGAGAGGAAAAGGAACATGAGGATTTCTAGGCATACAGCTCCTGTATCATTTTATCATGATTCTTAGCTTCTTGGTATTGGGTTACAACATGCTCCTTTAGCTCAGTGAATTTCGTTATTACCCACCTTCTGAAACCTACTTTTCTCAAATCAGCCATCTCAGCCTCAGCCCAAGTTCTTTGCCCTTGCTGGAGAGGTGTTGTGGTCATCTGGAAGAAACACACTCTGACTTTTTGAGTTTCCAGCATTTTTGCATTGATTCTTATCTTTGTGGGCTTATCTAGCTTTGATCTTTGAGGTTGCTGACCTTTGAATGAGGTTTTCCTGGGAGAGACCCTCTCTCCCAGGGCCTACTGACCAGTTGCCAGCCTGAACACACCTGTAGGAGGTGGCTGGGGACCCCTATTGGGAGGTCTCAGTCAGGAGGAATGGGATCAGAGACCTGCTTAAAGAAGCAGTATGGCTGATTTTGGTAGAGCTGGTGTGCTATGTTGGGAGGGACCTTTCCTCATGCAGATCTTTTGTATTCTCCAAAGCTGGCAGGCTGGAATGGCTGAGTCAACCCAACTGCAGAGGTGGCAGCTGCCCCTCCCCCTGGGAGTTCCATCTCAGGCCAGGGCTCTAATCTTAGAGCCCCAGCCATAGAACCATAGCTGGAGTGGCTGAAGCCCCTATATCAAGCAAGGTCCCACTCAGTGAGGAGGAATGGATCAAGATCCCACTCAAAGAAGCAGTCTTGCCAAAATCCAGCAAGGCAGCTGTGCTGTTGTGGGGCACTCTTTCTCATCAGGACCATTTGTATTTGCCAAAGCCAGCAGGCTGTAATAATTGAGTCTACTGAACTGCAGAGACTGTGGCCCCCTCCCCCACCCACTGCCCCTGGAACTTGAACCCTGCCTCAGGCAGATTCCAGCCTGTTGCCATTGTCTGGCTGGAATTCTGAGCCAGTGGTTTTTAACTTGTAAGGTGCATTAGAAGTGGGGCCCACAGAATGGTCCTGCTTGGCTCTCTGGATTCAACCCCTTTTCTAGGGATATGGACGGATGTATTTCCTGCCTTGCCAGGGATCCTGGGGCCAGAGTATGTAAAACTTCTCAGTTTCTGTGGGTGCCTGAGCTGCTGCTCTGCTGAGACTCCACACAGCTCTGTGTATCAGACCCAATGCCCTGGTGGCATGGGCTCACAAGGGGATCTCCTGATCTACAGGTTGCAAAGATCTTTGAGAGAAGCATGGTTTCAATCACTCACTGCTTCCCTTGGCTTTTGGGGTGGGGCTACTTTGGCTCTGTGCCACTCCCCGGTAGGCCATCTCCTCCACCCCCTTCACTTTTCTTCCTTCTCCATGAGTCGAGTTGTTTGGCTAATCAGTCCCAATGCAAGAACCTAGGTATTTCAGTTGAAGGTGCTGAATTCACTTGCCCCTTTTCATTCCTCTTCCTGAGTGCCACGGACCACAGTTGCTTCTAATCAGCCATGGTGCATCCTCCCAGTTTTCTTTTATTGTGTTTCATTGTACTCTAAATATATATATTTATATATATATATACACATATATATAAATAAATATATATATACTATATATATAAAATACAATATATATATTTCATTAAGTTTTCATGATATGTATTTTTCTTCCTTTTCCTTTTAATATATTTATGTCTTTATACTTAAGGTGTGCTTTTTTGTAGACAGCATATAGTTGGGTTTTGCTTTTTTTATCTGTTTGAAAATCTCAGTCTTATAGTGGGATTATATAACTTACACTAATATTGTTACTCATTTAAATGTGGCAAAATCTGTGACCTTACTAATTGCTTTTTATTGTTTCTTTGTACCTCTTCTCTGCCTCCTTTTGTATGAATTAAGTATTTTTACAATTTTATTTTATCTCCACTATTGGCTTTTCATTTATATGGCCCCTTTAAATCTATTCTATTGATTACACTAGGTTTTAAAATATAATATATGTCATTACGTTAATGCCTATTTTTAAATAATATGCCACTTTGTCTATAGTGTAAAACCTTACAACAGATTATTTCAAATTCATCCTCATCCTTGTGCTATTATTGTCATACATTTTGATTTTACATATGCAATAACACATAATACACTGATACTGTCCTTTAGCACGTTTGTATTGTAAAGCAAATGCAAATATTAAAAAAAAACTATTAATTTTATAAATGCCTTCCCTTATTCCATTTTCTGTTTTCTTTGTTAATTTGTGTAGGTCTAAGTTTTTGTCTTGAAAAATATTCCTTATGCTTTAAGAACTTTTAAAAATATTTTGTTTAGTGAAAGTCTGCTGGCAATGAAATGTCTCTATTTATTTTTGTCTACAAAAGTATTTATTTCTCCTTAATTTTTATAAATATTTTGGGTGATTTTATAATTCTAGATTGACATAATTTTTTTTCTGTGAGCATCTTAGAGATATTACTTCATCATCTTATGGTTTATATAATTTGTCTTATATAATTCTTCTGTAATTACTATTTTTGTTCCTCTGTATGTAATGTGCCTTTTTTCTCTGGTTGTCATCAAGACTGTCTCTGTCTTTGGCTTTAGTAGTTTGTATATGATATTGGTTTTTTGTTTGTTTTGTTTTAATCTGTCATGATTGGTGTGCTCTGAGTTTCTTTGTGATTTAGTGTCTGACATTAATTTTGGAAAATTCTCAGCCATTTATTTCTTCAAATATTTCTACTGATTTGTTTTCTTTCTCTTCTCCTTTTGCAATTCCTGTTACACATACGTTGGACTCTTTGATAATGACCTGCATGTTTTGGATGCTTTGTTGTTTATTTTTTCCCTCCTCTTTGCTCTTCAGTTTGGGACATTTCAATTGAATTTTCTTCAAGTTCACTGATTCTTTTTTCTGCTATGTCAAATCTAACGAGGAACCATTTGAAGGCACTTCTCATCTCCTTTTCCATGTTTGTTTGTTCGTTTTAGTTTTAGCATTTCCATTTGAATATTTCTTATGGTTTCCTTCCTCCTGCTAAAATTACCCCCCTAAATCTTCATGCTCTCTACCTTTTCCACTAGAATCTTTAACACATTAATCATAGAAATTTTAAATCCACTGTTAGATAGTTCAAACAATACTGTTATATCTGAGTCTGCTTCTGTTGATTGCTTTGTCTCCAGTCCATGAGTTTTTTTCCTTGGTTTTTTGTATGCCTCGCAATCTTGTGGTTTTTGTTGTTGTGGACTGAACATACTGTGTGGGATGATAGAGACAAGAGTAAATAGATTTTATGCCTAGAAATTGGCATGCCTTTCCTTCTGGTAGCCCATTGGTGTGAAGAGTTATTATTAGTGCGCCATGGGCTTCAAATTTTTGTAGTATTACCTTGTATTTAGGGTAGGAGCTCATTTCCTAAAGGGTTTGTTTCAATATCTGCTCCACCCTCACATTTAGGTCTTTCCTTTGTACTATGTCTTAGAGTGTTTTCCAACAAGCTCTTGTTCCTCTACCGAGAGTAAGACCACTGTTCCTTAATGCTTGCTATCTTGCTGTGGGTAGGAGATAGAAGCATTCTTGATTGTATTGATTAAGCCTTGGTCTTAGGCAGCATTTTGTCAATGAGTATTGAAGAAGAGCCATCTCAGTGTTTTGTACTTCCATTCTTCCCATTGTAGTAGGTTTTCAAGGGGAAAGTGAGAGGATGGATCTGGCTTTTTTTTTTTACAGTGGTTGCTCTTAAACTCCAATAGATCTGCACATTTTTGGAGGCTTTCTCATGACTCTCATTGGTCTTTTTTGCAAGAAGAGCTTGAGAACGAGTATAAATTATGATTTTTTTCTTGTGTCTGTGGTTTCCAAGTGCTCTACATTCTCTTGCTATCTCACACCTGGTCTTCAGCAATTTGTTAAAAATGCTCTTCTTCCAAGGGTTCATTGGTACCTGCTCCAGGTATGCATGCACTTGCACTCTGTCTTTAGAGATGCCTCTCTTCTATTAGATTTCATGTTAGTTACTTGGTTTGTGATTTTAACTCTCCAGTGAGTTCAGGAAAAGAGTTGTGTTTGCATATTGTTCAAGGTTTTGTTGTTGTAAGGGAGGAAACAATGTTCTTTCCTACTTCCTATGTGAGAATAGATATTAATTTTTAAGTCATTAATTGTCAAGACACAACAAGAGATCTTCTCCCAGAGATCTGGAGTTTAATAAAAGTTCAGTCTGAGGTTTTTCTAGGTGAATATTAATCAAATGAGATAAAATCTATTAATACTACAAAGAGGGAAGTGGTGGATATAAGGCAGTGGTGTTATTTCCCTATTATTTTTGTCTGATTATGTAATAGAAATAATCTGAATGGAACAGTATTTGGCCTGCTGCTTGAGAGACATGAGTAGAGCCAAGACACATTAGGCTGCATGTAAAATTGGCTCCTATAGAGTCAGTTCTAACAACAGCAACAAAAAAAAAGACAAATAAAAATTATGAGTGAGAAATGTTAAGCTCTTTGTAAGACATTAAAATTTAGTGCTTCCTCTCATTTTATTTGATTGACTTGGGAACTATTCTTAATGTGCTTTCAATTATAAATTATGACCAAGTAATTTGGGAATGAAATTAGAGAACCATTAGTCATGTAGAACAAATGCATGGAAGACTTCTTAGAGGATTCTACCATTTGACTATTAAATTCACCCTTTACCCTTCAGGGTAATAAGTGGATAATAAAAGTGACCGTTGAACTTGAGGGGGAGTAGAAATTCAACATAATCCAATTAATGGTAAATCCTAGATGAATCTTCGTCACTGCTTAAGAAACTCAAATGTTCCCTTTTCTAAGTTGTAATTCCTGTGCAAGGAGCAGTGCAGTTTCATTAGGATTCTGTGGCCAGCAGAAATATCCACCTAATTCATTTTACTAGCAAGTACTTTTACACTTCTCATGAATAAATAAAAGTGATTCTGGCATAAACAGCACTGTTCCTTTCCTATGGTGCTTTTGGGAACAAAATGCTGGTCTCAGTTAGGGCCATCCTACTATCCTGCCCTGAGTTTTGATCATAAGAAATATTTGAGAGCTATAATATGTGGACTTTGCTTTTTCCATAGTCAAGAAAACATCAGTTACCCAGTTCTTTGGACATGAAGTGAATAGTGTATATACCCTGTTGGACCCCTCATTTTCCATCAAAATATAATCTTTTCAATGTCCATCAATATTCCTTTGCTTTACATTTTAGGTAGTTTTAATATAGAAAATAGTGGTGCCCATCTTGAGTCACACAATTCTCCATCAGAAAAACTAATTAGTATAATACTTTACTCTCTTTTTTGCTGATTTTATTTTTAATTTTCTGCACCCTAAGTCTTTTCAATTGTTAGTTTTTGTGAAGGATGTATGGTTTAGATGTTTGACTGGTTACCTTTGCACAGTGTCATTGGATTAATTTATCTTTATAAAAACTTACTGTGTTTTTTCTTTCCCTAAGCATGAAAATATATTTAAGCAAATTATTTTTCTATGACTAGCCACCATCAATGAACTTGAAACTGTCATTCAACAAATGAAATCAGTTGACAGACTCTTCAATACCCATATCAGGGGTTGGCAAACTATGGACCACAAGCCAAATGCAGTCTGCAAGCTAAGAATGTTATTTACATTATTAGGCTTTTGTATAGACTACAAGCTAACAATGTTTCTTACATTTTTTAGTGTTAAAAAAAAACAAAAACAAAAGAATAACAATATTTTATGACACATACAAAATGACATTTAAATTTCAATGTCCATACATAAAGTAGAACAAAGCCACACACTCATTTGTTTATGAGTTATTTATGGATGCTTTCATGCTATAATGACTGAGTTGAGTAGTTGGTTGTCACAGAGCTATATGGCCCACAAAGCCTGAAATATTTATTATCTATCCATTTACAGAAAAAAATGTGCTGACCTCTGTCATATATAAAGTATCTAGCTAGATCAAGATTAGAAATATTTTAAAGATAAAATATTGTACTAAAGAATACATGATGCAAAGAGGTAAATGTTGTAATCATTGTCATAGAATTAATGGCCTCCTAAAATATATTGGATATTTACAAAATAATGTATTTGACATTCACGATTACATTAAGCTAACATTGATACTTCCCCAAGAATGTGAACACCACGGTTTGGATTTTAACCATTTCATGTGAAGAAAAGTTTTAGAAAAATAAATAAATAAAAGTTTAGAATAATAAATAAGATCACTCAAGCTTCATATTAGTTAGTACTATTTTTATATAATCACAACCTATCAAAGTTTGATTTTTCTTTTGTTCTGGTAAGTCAGCTTTTAGGCTCTCTTCATTAATTCACATAAGAGAAATTAGATTTCTTTTTTTAAAAAAACAAAATTGTAATTGGAAATAAAATGTAAGATATTTGATAACTACTGAAAGTTCAATTGTTTAAAATGTCCTATTAACCAAAAGATTGTTTAATATTCAAAGTTCTATAAAAAGTAATTTTAAAATTGTTTTTCTCATGATTATGAGCAATTAAATTTATAAGAAATTAGAGGACAAATGTTTCAAAGAGGTTATAGTAGGGAATTTCTATTATTTTTACTTATATTTATTTATCCAAAACATTTTCTGACAGCTAACATGTTTATACCAAACTTATATTCTTTTATAGTCTTACTAATGTCAAGACAATCTTTCTATCCTGAAGCCTTCTATAGTTTCTTACCAGAGCTATGATTCCACTATTTGGTCAGTTAATCTAGTGGTATTAGATATTAGCAAGTTAATGTTGACATTATTTCGTTGTGAAACATTACTCTTTTTCACAAAGTCAGGTTTTTTGTTTTTTTTGTTTGTTTGTTTGTTTGTTTGGTTTGGTTTTTTTTTCATTTACGCAGTCTCATTTGAACTAAATGGGTACTTCTGAAGCAGGATATTTCCCTGACCCCTTTGTGGGTGGGAACTGGAATGCATAGACTCTGGACCTAGCTGGGTGCTTCGGAGCCAGTAGGGAAAAACTCCACTCACTGGAACCTGCTGTGTTCTACCCCTTGCGGGAGGGGGAGCATGGGTGAGCAGGTGAAGGAGCTGGAGCAAGCACCTTTGGAACCTGGCAGGAGCATAACTTCGTGCAGGCCCTGTGGCAGTGACTGGGGCAGGCATGCCGGTGACCCCTGAAGCCCCAGAAGAAGGTTCAGTGCCCCTTTAGTGTTGCCGTCTATGGATGGCTTAAGTGTTAACAGCTCAGTGGAGTGTCAGTGTGACAGCCTTTTGCACCTGGACCTGAGTTCTTGTCCAGCATCCAGGAGGAATGAGGTCTCACAAATGAATCGAAGATGGTAAATGTGGGGAATTTTATTGCTGAGGAAAGTGGCTTTCAGGGGGCAGGGGAGCTGAAAAGGGGACAGAGAGGGAAGGTAATCTTCTCCTGGAGTCTGGTTGTCCCAGGCCAGATGCCTCTCCAAAGCTATGCCTTCAAGCTGTCCCTCTGAAGTCAAGCTGCTTCTCTCCAATGGCCAGCCATAGGCTCCCATGTACAGCTGCTTCTCCTCTCTCTGCCAGCCGAGTCTGGGATTTTATGGGCATAGGATGGGGGGAAGGGAGGGCCATAGGTAGTTTTGGAAAAGGCAATGTTTGAGCTGGAAAACAGGGATGTACGTTGTCACTTTGGGCCATGGTTCCAGGCTTGAGAGTGGGCTCTCGCCAGAGACCCACTCTCTTCTGCCCAGAATTTCTCTGTCTCCTGTTTCTATCACTTCCTCATAGACCTATGTTCCATAACATATTTATAATAAGAACCATAGAGGATAATAAGGAATGTCTAAATGGCAGCATTTTGGTCTTAAATGATACTAATACAGATATATCAGCATTTCCCTTCCTAAAATGTTTGTTCATTTGATGGCAAAAAATGCACATCTGTCATGTGAAGGTATGTTTTCTAAGGCTAGCCAAACAGAATATTATATATCAAAGATGACCATAAAGCAGAGGTAAACTTTCTTAAATATGGGTAAAATCAGGACAAATTCTATTGGTCAAAATAAATCCTCTAAATATTAAAATGGCACAAAAATATTATTGATGTTTTCATACTATCATAGATGCTTATTCTTAAGATTAATCCTGGAAAAGAAATAGTGAAGTTCAAATTATTTCAAAAAATATACACATATTTAAAACATTACAATATATACATTTAAAAAATAAGTGATGGCCACAAAAAGACATAAAACTTGATTTGTGTAATATTCATGCCTAAAACTTCTTATTTTTTTCCAGCATGGTTCAAATCACTTATTTCACATCTATTATTTATTTATTTATATGATAAATATCTCTTATGTACTGACACTGTGTATAGGCTCTGAAGATGATGCAAAGCTGACCAATATATAGACCTGGTCTTCAAGGCAATCATGGTACACTAGGGGATACAGAATGTGTACAATAACTACATGGCAAAATGTATATTAGGTAAGGTTATAGGAAACACGACTGAAAGTGGTAGTTTAAGGTCTGATTAAAGGGAAAGCTTTAAATGCCCTGGTTGTAGTTTGAACTTTATTCTCTACTCATTACAGACTTTTGAGTGGCGGGCAACTGTCATCATGGTTGTGCTTAAAAACCATGAAAGAAAAATGTGAGCAAGTTTTTATCTGTTTTGTTTTATTGTTGTATTTTTCTCCTTCTAATTACCATTCTCACCTATGTTAAGAAATGGGGAAAAGATCAAATTAGTAATATTGACTATTGTATATCCATGGCAAGTTTGACACCACCATTATTTTATTTCTTTATAAAATTATTTTGTTGTTGTTAGAGTATAGGCCAGGCTTTCTAGTAAACATAGCAAACTGGAATTACTTGATGCCAGTTTTACAGAGACTTAATAAAAATAGAAATAATTATGACTTTACGTAACTTTTACACTGAATTTATTTAGTGATCTAACTAATTCCAAGACAAACTTTCCTTAACTTTATTCACCTAATAATAACCTATGTCTCCTTAAACGTGTTTTTTTTTGTAAACCTGTGGATCTCATCATGGCAATTTTGTATTTGGTATTATGTTATACAGATGTTTGTCCACAGCTGCAGGCAGCCTCTTTGCAAGTCTTTTTTCTCTGGCCTTGGAAATGTATCCAGGGCCAGAGAAAAAATTTTATTTAGCTTACTTTGATTTAGTCAATTTTATGCTTTTCATTAACTCTTTATCTATCTTTTTAAATTTCTAAATTCATTCAATTTTTTCCTGCAGTAAAGTCAAATAGGAAATCACTAACCTTAATTTTGAATATTTGCATTTTTAACTTAAATCATTTAAAAATTAATATATGAAATAATATGAAAGAGAAAGAAATACATTAGTGATTATTTGTGTGAGACAGGATTTGATCAGAAAAGCAGAACTACTGTGAAAATAATGGAATAATGGATTCATTATAGGAATTAGACATAACTGTAGGAGAAGCTGAGGTATTGGTGCCTGGAAGGAAGAAGAGCTGGGCACAGAGCAAGAGAGAATAAAGACAAACTGGAGCCACCACCACCTCTGCATCTTTCCCACCATATGTAACCATAATAACGCTGAAAGTGTAATGGCCTTGTGCAAATTGTTCTCACACTAACTTTAACCAAGAGCTATACAGGGAATGAGATCCTGAGAAACATAGTTTCAGCTTGGCTAAGATGACATAGTACAAAACTACCACACTGCTATTTTTAAAGATCATATGTATATTGATTCATTTATCCTGCAATTATTAAAGAAGAAGTTACTACTTGCAGGCTGTTTGCTAGTTGTTGAAGATACAATTCTAAACAAGACCATCTCTTTTCCTCAAAGTTCAAATTTTTTCAAGAACACAAATATAAGAAACATGTAAAGTAAAATTTACAGAGAATTAAAGGTAAAATTAAGAGAGTAGATGAAGCCCTTGCAATAGAGTCACTAGGGAAGTCTTCCTGAGCAATGGGACATTTAAACTGACACCTGATGGATGGGTGCAGGTGACGAATGGGGAGGGAAACCAGGGAAGGAAAGTCACATGTGAAATGGCACAGAGTGAGAGACAGCATGTGTTGGGACAAGTGAAAAGTTTCAGTATACCTGGAATGCCGAGTCCCAGGAGTAATAGGTAATCATTGATGAACAAATTACTCTTTATTTTGTAAATTGGGCTATAAATGTATTTAAATTTTTCCTGCTCCAATACTCATTTTGATAGCAATTCAGTCATTCAAAAAGACATGCCATTTTAAAATTTCCCTGACCCTAAAGTGTGCTTTAATTGGTATTATTGCCTCAAAACAGATGTTTTAGAAATAATTAAATCTGATGAAAACTTCATTTTATTGTAAATCTCTATTTAAATTTGTCTAGAAGTATAACATAAACAAGAACATGTGTTTACCAAAACTTTCTTTCCTCCTAGTAACAAGTTCTTTACTTCTGGGTGGTCACTATTGTGGTATTTGTTTTCATACAAAGAGAAATATAGGAAGACTTACTTATAAACTAAGAGACAGTGGAATTTTGCTTCAAATTACAATGCCAAAGAAACCACAATTATGCATTACTTCCTATAGTTATTAATAGCATGGTTGATCTTTAGCTACAATGATATACTGTATTTTTGAAGCTAAAATATTAATATATTTATATGGAAGGAGGAAATACTTCACTTTAGATTAAAATGCACAAGCTATAAAAACTAGAATGTATATTCAATAAAGTATATGGCTGCAAAATATACATGGGAAAAAAGCAAAAGCTTTCATGTACAATTATAATTAACTTTATTAAAAAACTTTTATTATTGCATTAATAAGAATAAATAATTAGACAAGTGAATAATAACCAGACAAAGTCAACAAGAATATGCAGGCTTTGAATAATGTAATAAACTCCAATCAGATTTCTCATGGGAGCTTTGTACAATTAAAATGGGATTTTAATATTTGTTTTAAGTAATAACTTGTTATCCTAAGAAAATATTAGGAGAGCATAGAAGCACCTTTTATAGTAAAATAAATTATGAATCTACAAACACCAAATCAATATAATTTTAGTACAGAAATAGACAAGCAGTTAATGGAGAAGAATAAAAAATACAAAAACAGATTTCAGTGTTTAAGTATTTGTGTACATGTTTATATGTGTTTGGGATTCAAATATAATAAAAGCATAACTTTAAATCAACAGGTAATGGATTCTTTTATTGCTGAAGCATTTACTCATGGTGCTAAATTTTATTTTGGTATAAAATAAATGAGAAATATATATATATATTACATTTTATACAATACTGATAACCTCAGGATATGTTTCAAAAACTGAAAACATACCTTTCCTTTTCTGAACGTTGATGGACTAAAATAACATGAAAAACTTTCATATTTCCATAGAAATTCTGACAGGAGGAAATATAAGAACCAAAAATTTGACCTTGTGGATAAAATTGCAAGAAAGAAAGATACTAGAAATAAATAGTATATTTCACATTTTGCCTCAGACAGTCCTGTTGTCTGAGTGTCATACTTGCAAAAACATCTTGGTTTGGATGATTCCAAAAATTGTAAAGTGGAACTAGAAGCCCATTAACTATCAATGCACCTGGTCCTGGTATAGGGGGTGAAGTGTGATGGAAATAAGGTTAGTAATTTTAATTTCAGTAAGTTAGAGCATAACTTTAATTCTCATCTGGGAACAGATGAGTTCTAGAGCCAATCTAAGCAGAGGAATTGAGATCCTTGTACTGGGTCCTTTCTGTAGGATTGATATACTGCTATATCCCCTTCCAGGAATAAAAGACTCACTTCAGTTATTGGGGATATGACTGGTGAACAATCTTTTGCTGTCAGCTCCCTGTGGGAACTGTCTCAGCCAAAGAGTGTTGTGTCACCAAAGCCACACTATTTTCCCAGGGCAGCCAGCATCCAATGATGGACACAGGGGTAAAAAAGTCCTGACTTTTCCGCAATGGGAGACAGCTATAGATCCCATACCAACTCCAAAGCTCTACTTAGGGTCAGCTGAGGCAGCTGATGTAACTGGATCACAGCTCAACTTCTTTCTCTTTCAAATCTTATTTTCTTTCTTTTCTTTCCACAGGTGTTAATCCCAAGAACATTCCCTAACAAATGGCTTGAACACTAAGCTTTTTCTCTATCTGTTTTCCAGCAAACTCAGTCTATGATATGTACCCTCTGTAAAAGAGTGAGCTAGAAATAATCTGCCTTGAGCAACCAGGCAAGAGAAAGAAGTAAAGTGTATTTAAATAGGAAGAGAGAAAGTCACATTGTCTCTGTTTGCAGATGACGTGATTGTATATTTAGAAAACCCGATTGTCTCAGCCCAAAATCTCCTTAAGCTGATAAGCAACTTCAGCAAAGTCTAAGGATACAAAATTAATATGCAAAAATCACAAGCATTCCTATACACCAATAATAGACAATCAGAGAGCCAAATCATGAGTGAACTCCCGTTCACAATAGCTACAAAGAAAATAAAATACCTAGAAACACAACTTAAAAGGGACGTGAAGGACCTCTTCAAGGACAACTACAAACCACCTCCCAAGGAAATAAGAGAGGACATAAACAAATGGAAAAACATTCCATACTCATGTATAGGAAGAATCAATATGGTAAAAATGAGCATACTACTCATAGTAATTTATAGATTCAATGCTATTCTCATCAAGAATATCATTGACTTTCTTCACAGGACTAGAAAAAACTACTTTAAATTTTGTATGGAACCAAAAAAGAGCTCATATAGCCAAGACAATCCTAAGCAAAAAGAATAAATCTGGAGGCATCACGCTAACTGACTTCAAACTATACTATAAGGCTGTAGTAACCAAAACAGCATGGTACTGGTACCAAAACAGATACATAGACCAATGAAACAGAACAGAGGCCTCAGAAATAACAACACGCATCTACAACCATCGAATCTTCAACAAACCTGACAAAAACAAGCAGTGGGGAAAGGATTCCCTATTTAATAAATGGTGCTGGGAAAACTAGCTAGTCATATGCAGAAAACTGAAACTGGACCCCTTCCTTATACCTTATACAAAAATTAAGTGAAGATGGATTAAAGACTTAAATGTAATACCTAAAACCATAAAAACCCTAGAAGAAAACCTAGAATGCCATTCAGGACATAGGCATGGATAAAGACTTCATGACTAAAACACCAACAGTAGTTGCAACAAAGCAAAATTGACAAATGGGATCTAATTAAAGTAAAGAGCTTCTACACAGCAAAAGAAACTATCATCAGAGTGAACAGGCAACCTACAGAATGGTAGAAAAATTTTATAATCTATCCATCTGACAAAGGGCTAATATCCAGAGTCTACAAGGAACTTAAACAAATTTACAAGAAAAAACAACTCCATCAAAAAGTGGGCAAAGGATATGAACAGACACTTCTCAAAAGAAGACATTTATGCGGCCAACAAACATGAAAAAAAGCTCATCATCACTGGTCATTAGAGAAATGCAAATCAAAACCACAACGAGATACCATCTCACGCCAGTTAGAATGGCAATCGTTAAAGTCTGGAAACAATAGAAGCTGGCGAGGATGGAGAGAAATAGGAACGCGTTTACATAGTTGGTGGGAGTGTAAATTAGTTTAACCATTGTGGAAGACAGTATGGTGATTCCTCAAGGATCTAGAACCAGAAATACTATTTGACCCAGCGATCTCATTACTGGGTATATACCCAGAGTATTATAAATCATGCTACTGTAAAGACACATGCTCATGTATGTTTATTGCGGCACTATTCACAATAGCAAAGACTTGGAACCAACCCAAATGCCCATCAATGATAAACTGGATAAAGAAAATGTGGCACATATCCACCATGGAATACTATGCAGCCATAAAAAAGGATGAGTTCATGCCCTTTGCAGGGACATGGATGAAGTTGAAAACGATCAGCAAACTAACACAGGAACAGAAAACCAAACACTGCATGTTCTCACTCATAAGTGGGAGTTGAACGACGAGAACACATGGACAAAGGAAGGGGAACAACACACACTAGGGCCTGTGGAGGGGTTGGGGGGCAAAGGGAGGGATAGCATAAGGACAAATACCTAATGCATTTGGGGCTTAAAACCTAGATGATGAGTTGATGGGTGCAGCAAACCACTGTGGTAACAAACGTGCACATTCTGCACACGTATCCCAGAACTTATAATAATAATAATAATAATAGTAAAGAAAAGAAATCTTCTGCCTCATGGCACAGGATGAAATTAAGAAAAACTGTTGATCTGTCTTTTCCAAGGTCCTGCATATGAGGGAAAATAAAAAGACTATCTGAAAAATCAAAACTCTGGGCATGGGCCTTGCCCATGTTGGGATCTAAAACGTATTGTACTCATGTCTTCCAGGAAGCCTCATGCTGAAACAGTCTCAGGAAGTTGGTCTTTATTCAGAGATGATATCCAACTTTGCTGGCATAAAAGTTATACTAAGCCTCTTTCAAAAAGTAATTCCACATCCAGGCTGAATGTGATTCCCATAGAAAAAAACAGAAACAATGCTACTAAGGATGAGCTCACAATAAAAATTTACAAAACACACCAAGAAATACTAAAGTATCATAGTTTCAAAAACTTAACAAAATTTGATTGAGAATCTAAAAATAGTATTTTTAAATGAATAGGTATAAAAATAAAAAGAATTGGACCCTTAGAAATAATAAGATGCTATAAAAATAAATTTTTTTATTTTTTTATTATACTTTAAGTTTCAGGGTACATGTGCACAACATGCAGGTTTGTTAGCACACCAATATAAAAATAAATGTAAACAAAAACTAAATGAATTTCTAAAACGAAATAAAAATATTGTGTAATAATTAAAGAGGATTTAATATTATTTATGTTATTTATCCTATCTCAGTGCACAAGGTAAATAACATTAAACAAACTAAAAAGATAAATTACGAATTGAGACCATAGAATTCAATAAATTACCTAGAATGCAATACACAGATGAAACTTGTAAATCAGGAAAGAGGTTTTGACATACAGACAATAAAACCAAAATGTACAACACACATCTACTATAATTTCACAGAAGAATAGCATATAGAGAATGGCAGTGAGTCAATACTTGAAAAAAATGATAGCTAAACATTTTCTGAATAGATGAAACTCATGAATCTTAAGACTTGAGAAGCACAATAAGTTAACTGCAGGATAAATGAAAATAAGCTGTCATCTAGACACATCTTAGTGAAAATGTATAACACCAAAGACAAAAAGAAAATCTTTAAAACAACTGGAGGAAAAAACTCCAATCACCTATAAAGTTAAAATGTCTGCAGCAGTATAAAATGTAAACAGCAATAGAGATCAAATACTGTGAGAAAATAGCTCTAAATTTCATAGAGACAATACATTTTACAATAGAATACTGGAGTAAGCTAAACTGTTGTTCAGGACTAAGATTGTACTTATACAGACGAAAATAATTTGCTGTTTTTAAACAATTATCGTGTGTTTAAGATAATTAAATTTTATCTCCTTTACAAAGATACAACAAGAAATCATTGATGATGGCCAAAGACTAGTTTTGTTTCATTTATGAGATAGCTGCGAATAATACAACACTTTAACAACATTTTTATATAGCGTTCAGACACACATACAGACATACAGACTGGAGAGGAATATTATTCTTCTTTTACAGAGAATGACATTGAGTTTTGGAAAAACTTTATGGCTCTTCTTCAGGCCTTTTGACTCCACTTCCTTTGTTCCCTTTACTATACGATACTAGTTCAAAATAACCAACCAACCAAAACAAATAAACAAACAAAACAAAACAAATTAGCATGAATGTTAGGATTTTGTGAGTGTCAGAGAACACTATTTGACTAAAATTTTGCCAGATCTCATCAAATTTGGCCTTGCAAATTGCTATGAAGCCATTGTCTCATTTAACTCCTAGATTTAAGAATCTTAAGTATAGAGAGTCAATTTGTTAAAATAGTTGTGTATTTATGTGTATGTGTATGTAGCGAAAGAGTAAATTTCAGTTCTAAGGAGATATGAATTATGTTTCATTTCTCTAAGCCCAGGGTAATATAATAAGGTCAAGGCAGCAGTCCCCCCTTATCCGAAGGATATATTCCAAGACCCTCAGTGAATGCCTGAAGCAGAGAATAGTACTGAACCCTATATGTACTATGTTTTTCCTATACGTACATATACAAATACATACAAAATACATACATTGTATGTATTTTCCTCTATGTACAATATACAATATACACATGTGTATTCCTATATATATAATAAAGTTTAATTTATAAATTAGACAAAGAGGTTAATAATGGTGACTATTAATAAATAGAACAAGTATAACAATATGCTGTAATAAAAGTTATATGAATACAATCTCTCTTTCTCCTCAAAATACCTGGTACTAGGTGGGGCACGGTGGCTCACGCCTGTAATCCCAGCACTTTGGGAGGCCGAGGCGGGTGGATCACGAGGTCAGGAGATCAAGACCATCCTGGCTAACATGGTGAAACCCTGTCTCTACTAAAAATACAAAAAATTAGCCAGGCGTGGTGGTGGACGCCTGTAGTCCCAGCTACTGAGGAGGCTGAGGCAGGAGAATGGCGTGAACCCAGGAGGCGGAGCTTGCAGTGAGCCGAGATCGCCCCACTGCACTCCAGCGTCGGCAACAGAGCGAGACTCCGTCTCAAAAAAATTAAAAAAATAAAAAAATAAAACCTTGTACTATACTCACCGATTTTCAGACCTCAGTTGACCATGGGTAACAGAAATTGCTGAAAGGAAATCACAGATAGTGGGAGACTATTGTGGCTGATTTAGCAGTGTTTTCAGTATTCAACTCTACCTTTCTTCTAACTTTCATCACCTTACTTATTTATTTATTATTGGATGACTTTCATTCTTTTGAGTAACTTAGGTTGACTTGTTCACTTATTTATCAAACACAACTCTCCTTTATCAAAATAGACTCTCTATTTTTTGTTTCACTAGTTATATCCATTTAATTGCCCAATATACTTCTTTTTTAAGAAAATTAATATTAGTGTTGATATTTTAAAAACCAAAGCTGGAATTCCTAGTAAAACACAATATGCCTGGTTGTACACAATTTGTTTGCCTTGGATATAAAAATATATTTGTGCTTCAATTTTGCAAGTGAGAACATTTTAACAAGTGCAGTCCAGAGTACCGTCAACATTATTGGCATCCATTTGCTTCCCTTCAGGGAGGATGAATCATCAGTAACCAAACATCAGTAATAACACCTAAGATTCTAAAAACAGCTTTTGCAAAGCACATAGGATTTCACAGATGTTCTCAAGAAGTCGCATGTTACACCTCAGAATTAGGATGGTGACAACTAATAGTAGAATGTATCTGTTTGTTAATTTGAGTTTAAATTGGTTACCCTAAAGTCAAAGAGACAGAGATTGTTCCACAACACCAGGAAAAAAAATCAGTGGGAATATGAAAAATCTAATCCATCAAACACATAACATATTTTTAGATACTTTACAAAACATTTTATTTTTAACTAAACTTTATAAACTAACTGGTTGCTCCCTACTGTTAAGTTTATACACAGTAGAGTCAAACTGGCAGCAATGTTAAAAATAGATTCATATTTAAAACATGAAAATAAATGTGTTATTAACCATGCCTATTCTCATTGATTTGCCAAAGAAGGTCTAGTATATATCCATCTCAAAAATACAGAAAATTATTTTTTTGCCATGGAAAATTGAAAGTGTTGCATGAACTGAATACATTATATAGAATTCCCTTTTGATGATCTATTTCAATTCAATATATATTGTTTAAGTTTCTACTCTGTAATAGGCGATTGGCAAATTTGAGTGTCAAGGGTCCAAGGCATAGATACAAAAATGAGTACAACTGAGTTAAGACAGTCTTCAATTTCAAGACAATATACACATACAAGCCACCAGATACAAGGTAGAATGAAGTGTACCTTAACAATAATTAATAGCATATGCTATGATAGCTCAGAGGATGGACTGACTGATGCTGTCTGAGATGATTCAAGTAAAGCTTTATGTAAAAAGAAACCATGTGAGGTGCAGCAATGCTTTCCAAAAGTGAAGACAAGGGAGGGGAGCAGAGCAGATTAGATTACTTTAGGTTAAATGTACTTAGGTTAAATCTTTGAGAGATGCCAATACTGTCATTTGAAAGAAAAAAATAAGGGCTTTATACTTTTCTTGGAAATAATGATAAATACATCTTGTTTAGTGCTTAGTAGGTGCCTGACATTTTGCTTTGAGCTTAGTAAGAATTGTTTTGTTCAATACACTACGGTATGACATGAGTATTACCCTATTTTACTGATGCAGAAGTTGAGGCTTAGCAAGTCTATTATAAAACTTTTACTAAAGGTGACATGGCTCGTTGGGTATATTCATTTTATGTTACTATACAATAAAATACTATAAACTTAATGGCTTATATAATTCCTATTTATTTATTTTTTGAAACAGGGTCTCACTCTATTGCCCAGGCTAGAGTGTGGTGGTGTGATCTCGACTCACTGCAGCCTCCACCTCCTGGCTCAGGTGATCCTCCTACCTCAGCCTCCTGAGTAGCTGGGACTACAAGGCATAAGCCACCATGTGCAGCTAATTTTTAAATTGTTCTAGAAATGAGGTCTCACTATGTTGCCTAGGCTGGTATGGAACCTCTGCACACAAGCAATCCTCCTATCTTGGCCTCCCAAAGTGCTGGGATTATAGGCATGAGCCACCATGTCCAGTCAATTCCCATGTATTATCTCACAGTTCTATATGTCAGAAGTCCATGAATGGACTAGCTCAGTCCCCTCCTCAGGGGCCTCAACAAGCCAAAATCAAGGTGTTGACCAAGACTGCAATTCTTATCTGAGGATTGGGTCCTCTTTCAAGCTTATTTACTATTGGCATAATTCATTTTCTTGTAGCTGTCACTAAGGCCCCTGTCTTCTTGCTTATTATCAGATATTGATTAGTTTGTTAGGCCTGGGAATTAATCTCTCTGGCTCTCTGTTCTACCTTCTAGTTTCTTAGTTCCACCCTCTGAGTCATCCTTCCTTTTTATGAAAAGTAGCAAACTTTCAGAGCTGAGTAGTTTATTAGCTTGTTTCCTGTCAGAAGAATTTTGGGGGTCTAACAAACTTCTTTCTTTGCACTTTCTTGGTCCCTTTCAAGTCAAGTGTGCAGCATTTCAGCTAATATAATGTTCTCGAGGACTTTGTGGGCCTTACGTATAGATTTCCATCTATAGATTTTTGCTCGATTAGACAAAAGTCATATCCATAAATCTTTTTATCATAACCTCTTCTTCATTTTTTGTTCCTCTTCCTAGAGGCCCTCTGGCTTGAATGAGAGGATATACGGAGCAACTCCTAATCTCTTGAAATAGCCTAAATACTCTGGCAGTTTACTATAGGCTCCTGGCACCTTTAGCACTTTGCTTGACAATCTCCTTAACTATATATACAAGTTTATGGACTGAAAGCTGTGTTTTCTACATAACTGCAGGAAAAAATTTTGCTAAGCATTCTGCCATTACATAACAGAGGTCATCCTTCCTATTTTTAAGTACAAACAAGGTACATATTAAAAACCAACTAATATTTCTGCTCTTCCAAACATCCCCTCAAGAGACGTGTGTCCTTTCACAGTTTTTAAAATCTGCTAATATAAATTTATAAAAAATGTGTATACATATTTCAATTTTACTTTGTCTTTCCTTTAAAAAACTGTTTCTTTGAAATCAAGGTGTCAGCCAGCTGCCTCATTTGGAATCATAACTAAGGAAATATTTGTTCCCAACCTCCCTCAGGTAGTTTGCCAAACTTAGTTCTTTTGGTTTTGGGAGTAAGTCCCTGTTGTCTTGTTATTTGTCAGATGAGGCCACTCTCAGCTTCGGGGGGCTGCTTTCAAGTCCTTGCCAGATGGCTCCCTCCATAGATTCTCCAGCATTTTCAATCTTTCTGACCGCAAGCATTCCCATGATTTCTTAAGGGTTCAGCTAGTTAGGTCAGGCCCACCTAGATATTTTGTTTTTCTTACTGAACTCAAAGTTAACTGATCAATAACCAATTATGGGAATCATATCCCATCGTATTCTCAGGATCTGTCCACACTCAAGGGGAGGGTTATCCTAGGCATGCGTAACAGGGAGTGGGAGTCATGCGGGCCGTTTGAGAATTCTGCCTGCCACAGTAGCACAGCCACAATCCAATCCAGATCTCCTTTACTCCAAAGCCTCTTCCACTAATACTACTCTATACCCCCACTTCCTAGGGTTATTGTGAAGCATATTTTCTTAATTTAATATGCTAAAACCAGCATAGATGTTTATGCTTTTTCAAAATGTCAGGCACAGACCAAATTTATTTACCTCCCACCAATGCAGAGATAAATCCATATTTGCTCAGAAATATAGATATTTGGTACAGACAAACTTACATATATAGATATTAATTACAATGCTCGATGGTAAAATTAATGTAGCTAAATTTTTCTCATAATTCTGTTGAATAAAATCATAACATGTTCTCAAATAATGAAAACTAGTTATGCATATTACTTCTCAGATTTATTGTTATTTGGAGGTCTATTCAACTCATAATAAATGGTAAAGTTCCACTGGTTTAAAGAAGATAGGCTTTTCTGTCCCTTTTAAGTAACAGGGTGACTATAAGCATCTAGGGCTGATGTGATGGCCCCTAGGTAGTGGGGACCCATGCTCCTTCTATGTTATTGCTCAGGCATCTTAAATACATGTCTTCCATCATGTGCTTTAAGGTGGCCCCTCCAGCCCCCTTCATAATTCCAGGTAATATGGACAAGTGGAAGGACAGAGAAGGCATGGTCATTTAAATTAAGATGAATGACTAGAAGTTGCAAGCATTGATTTCCTCTTACATCCCATTTTGATAGAGCCTGGTCAAATGTCTATTCCTAGCTGCAAAGCAGTCTGTGAATGTTATTCTTTGCTGAACGATGACAGACCCAGCCTAGAATTTTTATTGTTATAGCGAAAAGGAAAAATGGACATCAAAGGACCACTAGCCATGACTGCCACGTGTTTTCTAATTGCAGTCCCAAGCTTTGTTGGCCAGTACTTCAGGTTATTATGAACAGCTCTGACCTATTATTCCTGGCTGAGTAGAGGCAGGGGAATAATAATACAGGATTCAAAAATCTAAATTCTTATTGGCTTGTGGCAGGAAAACACCTTTAAGGTATCAGCCAAGTAAACAGATCGTAAAGATTAGTGGTCAATAAGAGATTAGTGAATATCCTTTGCTTTACAAAACGTGATAAACCTCAATGTAGCTTGGAGAAAATTGACAAAAATATGTCAAGAGTTGCCAGACAATAGTGTGGTGCAGGTCTCTTATCACTTTATGGGCTACGAAGAAAAGGAGATGTGACTGACCATAGAGGACACAGGAACATAACTGCATGGGTACTGAGTAGTATTAATTTCATTTAGGTCTGATTCAGGTGGGAGTTTCATTTCCGGGAACTCACTCTAATCTGCTAAGTTGAATGGAATCTCATATGTAATTAGATTATATATCTATAATAACTTGAGAAAGCATACTTTCCCAATAGGCACTATTTTTTTTTTATTTTACTTTAAGTTCTGGGGTACATGTGCATCATGTGCAGATTTGTTACATAGGTAAACATGTGCCATGGTGGTTTGCTGCCCCTATCAACCCGTCATCTAGGTCTTAAGCCCCACATGCATTAGGTATTTGTCTTAATGCTTTCCCTCCTCTTGCCCTCCGCCTCCCAAAAGGCCCCGGAGTGTGTTATTCCCCTCCCTGTGTCCATGTGTTCTCATTGTGCAACTCTCACTTATGAGTGAGAACATGCAGCGTTTGGGAACCAAAAATACCATTTGACCAAGCAATCCCATTATTGGGCATATACCCAAAGGATTATAAATCATTCTGCTATAAAGACACATGCACACATATGTTTATTGTAGCACTATTTACAATAGCAAAGACATGGAACCAACCCAAGTTCCCATCAAAGATAAGCTGGATAAAGAAAATGTGGTACATAAACACCATGGAATACTATGCAGCCATAAGAAAGAATGAGATCACGTCCTTTGCAGGGACATGGATAAAGCTGGAAGCCATCATTCTCAGCAAACTAACACAGGAACAGAAATAGGAGCTATTTTATCTATTGATGTTATTAGTATGACTTTAATGATGTAACCACAGAATTGGTAAAATTCTGGGAGATATAAGGAATGTAATCAGATATCATTTAAATATTCATAAGAATAGTGGCCTGACCACACTGTAAGAATATGAAACAATTCAGAATAGTATAAAACAGGGACTAGATTAGTTGAGTCCTAGTAGGTGGTAAAGTATATAGGGTGTGAGGCTATTGACTGAAAATGCCAAAAAATGATCTCTACTAAAGTTTCTTGAGCAGACTAGTCCTATTAGCCTATCCTATTTGGAGGGTATGGATTTGAATACATGGTTGACATAGTAACTAAAACAAGTGGACCAGCTTTTTTTACTTAGTGACAAGGGAAAAACCCATCTGATGTCTGCAGTCCATTTTTAATTATTAATTCTGCAGAGATGATAACCCCACTTTTCTTTTTTCCATAGTGGGTAATTTTCCTTTAAGTCCTGGCAGTATTAGAATTTTAAATATAAATGATAGAGTATCATATATTATCAGAGCCTTGTTATGTTTTTGTTAAATCTAGAAATGAAAATTTTTTTGTAATAATTTGGTCAATCCATTTCACTTGATGTTTGGTTTTAGAATATTTGGCCAGGTAGTGCTTGATTGCAATTAAGTGTACATTTGAGTAATCTTTTAGAAATTGTAATTTCTTAGGTCAAAAGTTATAAATTTTTTATAATATTAAAGAGTCTTAAGTTGCATTATATTTTGGAGTTTAATATTAGAGTTACTAAAGTTACTTAAGTACTCTAGCAAGTTGCTAACTGGAGTAATTGAAATACTTCAAAAGAAAGTTACTGGGTTTATACATCAGATGTAGTTGAAAATGTTTGAAATAATTTAATTAAGTTTAAAATGGTAGAACTTGTTACAAAATTTTAGTTTATGTTCGGCTGATCACATATTAATCAGAAGCTTCCTTCTGAGAGATTTTTAAGATTTTCCCAATGTATGAAAAGAAATAATGAAGAAAATGTCAGATAACTTAAAATTTGAACTTAAAACCTTAAGTAAAATAGGCCTGTGAATTTGTGAGGTTGTTAAATCAGTATTAATTTGAAGACTTCAAATAGCTATAAGTAATTTTTTCCAGGCACATAAGTTACCCTGAAGTCACCAAAACTTTGCATAAACAAATACCTTTTTAGGGGAAACATGCTGATACTTTATTTTAAAAAATAATAATAATATTAACTTAAAACAAAGTCACATATAAAAACTAAATAATCTGCACTTTCAAACTCCCTCTTCCAGTGGCATGTATCAATTTATATTTTTTCTGCTACTATAAAAAATGCATATTTATGTATATATAGTTAAAATTTATTTTCTCTTTTCCTTTAAACCACGATTCTTTGGACAAAGACCTTAAACAATTCACAGAAGAATTAGAAGTGGTCAATAAATGTGTAAAAATGCTCAAATTCACCTTTAATTAATATGTACATTGAGATAACCACAAAATAATATAAATATATATTGTGATAACTACATAATTTTCATATGTCGATTTGGCAACCATTTAATATACACTGTTGGCAAAATTAGTAATGTGAAATCAGCATTCACATACATGGATGATGCCATTGCAGAAAACTCTCATGCAGATAGTTTGGCAGTATGTCTTTAATAGCTTATAATATCCACAATCTTTGATCTAGTGATTCTGCTTCTAAATATATATGGGCACAGACATTCATCACAGTCACACTTATGAAATTAAAAAATTAGGATGAATTCAATGTCAAAGAAAGTACTCATTAAAAAATAGTGCTTACATTTGGTGAATATTGCTATTAAAAATGAGTTAGTGGGTGCAGCGCACCAGCATGGCATATGTATACATATGTAACTAACCTGCACAATGTGCACATGTACCCTAAAACTTAAAGTATAATAATAAAATAAAAAAATAAAAAAAAAAGAAAAAGAAAAAATAGAAAATAAAACTATTTTCAAAGAGTAATGGCATAGGGATATGCTTATTGCAAAACTAAGACATAAACCTATATATAAATCCCTATATAGGTAACCCATATATAAACCTAAATAAATATGCTTCTAATTAAATGTCTAACATAGGGATATATTTGTAAGGTATGAAAGAAAACAAGAAAGTATTGTAACATAATCGCAATATCTCAGCATGGTGGAATTACTGGCAAAGATTATTTTTTCTTATGCTTCTCGTATATCTAAGAGATATATCTCATCTTCAATGAGCATGAATTACTTTCACATAATGTATATTTAATTTATTTATTTATACATTGCATTTACTAATTTATGACTAGGTCTCTTCTATCTGTAATACACCATATTTATTTTCTTGCTGTTTGGTTGATGTATTTTTAAATTATATAGCTAATCAGTTTGGGGAGTAAAATGAGAACACACTCTTCAGGTTTCATCAAAGTAGTCTTTGCACTAGACTACACTGCAAAATAAGAAATAACTTGAAAGTTTACTAAAAAAAAGCACCAGAACACTAAAAGTATGAAAAAAAAATCAGCCCAAATATGTTTGTAAAAAGGCTTAAAATCTTGGACTTCTGAGAATTTTGGAGAATATTTTCGAAAAACTGACCATCCAAATAAAACATGTTTGTCTGGGATGCAAATTCATAAACAAAATGGTTGTAAGAAGTGAGAAAGACATGAGTCTTTGTTTTCTTTGATATTATTTTTAACACATGGAAATATTCCAGTAAGTGATTTGAATTGCAATTTGGGAACCAACTGAATCAACAAAATAAATATGACAATTTGATGCCATTTGAGGATATTGGCATTTTATAAAAGAAATTGTCTTGTAGAGCAGATGATGGTTCTGGCTCAGGTTGCATCTCTTTTTCTTCTTTTTCTCCCCCTGGATGTAGACTGTTGCTGTTAGGTTCAAAGCACTCTTGCCAACTCTAACACCATGGCAATAATTAAAAGGTGGAATTAGTGAAATGCTGCAAGGTAATAGAGGCTTTCAAAACTGTTTAGGACACAAGGAAATGCTTGTACAGGTGATTAAGAGCAGGAGCATACAAGTATATCATGCTAATTTGGCAATTTTCACAATTATTTTAGAACTTTGCCAGAAGCTCATCAACCTGCACTCCCATTTCACTACAGTGTCAGGCCATAGTGGTTGCTCCACTTCTTCTTGGGTGTTTCTAGCACCAGAGAACTTTCAAACTCGTGGTGCTTCTTAACTTGGGGTCACGAACTCCATAGTAGTACATAAATGCGTGTCAGGAATTAATACTGTGAAACTATATGCAAATATATTTATATGAAGATTACGGTCCATGTCTTAATCAGATTCTCAGAAGTGTCTGTGACTTCAACAGAATTAAGATGTTCTCACTCATAAGTGGGAGTTGAACAATGAGAACACGTGGACACAGGGAGGGGAACATCACACACCCGGGCCTGTCGGGGGATGAGGGCAAGGGGAGGAAGAGCATTAGGACAAATACCTAATACATGCAGGGCTTAAAACCTAGATGATGGGTTGATAGGGGCAGCAAACCACCATGGCACATGTATACCTATGTAACAAACCTGCATGTTCTGCACATGTATCCCGGAACTTAAAGTAAAATAAAAAATAAATAAAGCAAAAAAGAATCATTACAGAGGTAGCCAATTACATTTTCAAACAGCTCAAATAATTGAACAATCAGATAAAATGTTATTACAATAACAATTTCTACCTCTCTAACCTAAAAAAAAAAAAAACCCTCTGGGACAACACAGTCTTATTCAACCTGATTATAACCCTATAAATAAAATAGGTTATATACTCTTGAAATCTCTTCCACTCTAAACACCCCCATTTTCTTAATTGTTTCCTTTTTTGATGACTGGTTGCTCTACTATCATGTCTACTCTTTTTATACACACTCAAATTTGATTATTTATTGCTTCCTGAAGGATGGCTCCCCAGATTGCAGTTTTCAGGTGTGATCAAAAAGGTGACCATGCACTCCAAAAAGGACTAAATTTCCCCTATTCTGCACATTACTCTTATAGAGAAGCATTTGTGTTTTGGAGGGAGCCATAACAAATGTTTATCCTCTTTGAAAGTCAAATGATTTTTGCATGTGTTCAGATACAATATTTGCTACATTCCATAAAGTATACTAAAGTTTTGCATCCCCCATTCCTACCCCTGCATCCCACACCTCCTGAATCTACTCATTTCTATGGCTGAGACATTGGATTGTTTGACACTCACCCTCTGTTGAAGTAGTCCTATGCTTGCTTTTGACTTTTCATTCAGGCTAGGCTAGGTTCCCTGTTTAATTACTTCAGTGCTGATACTACTAACTCTCCCAAATTTCTCAGCCTGGCATACAGAGAAATATAAGTCATGTGGATATAAAACACTGATGTTCAAATCTTAGTTCTATCACTTCTTACTTCTACGCTCTTGGACCGTTTAGTCAAGATCTTAAAGGAGGAGGAGGAATTATCTTGAAATGCGTATTAATCAAATGCAATTTTGCAACCTTGCTTGTGTCCTGATTTCAATAAACTAACTCAAAGAAGACATTTATAAGACAATTGGGAAATTTTAGTGTGACAATCCTATTTTGGATATTTTTAAAGGGCCCTTAACTCTTAGAGAGGTATACTAAACTACATGCAGATGATAATACAACATTTATGATTTCCTTTAATATAATTCAGTGGAACTATGGCTACATGAATAGATGAGACAAGATTTACCATGTTGATATGTTTTGAAGCTGGTCAATAGGTACAGGAAATTCATTTACTATTTTATCCACATTTGTATTTTAAGACATTTCTATGATAGAAAAGCCCAATTTTTAAAAAGAGAAAAAAATTTACTTTTAGCTCTTTGAGTTGAACAAAATTAGCTTACACTTCAATAAAAAGTCACCAGAATTACTTTATTATTCCTAAATCCCTGGTATTTCCTCAGAGACATGAAAAGTCAGAAAAACAATTCCAGCTTCTAAAGTTTCAATTTCCTTATTGGGTCTCAGGATTTTTTTTAAAGTATCTTCTTTCTTTCAGTTTGTGCTATAGACTGGTTCAAGACTTTCTAGCTGAAGTACAACAGATATTTAGATACTGCCTATGCAGAATATGCTTGTTATACCAACTTGGAGAAGAGCAATTCTTATTTTATACCTGTATCAACCCTTAGAGCCCCCTTGTACAAATTGGAAAAAAGTGGTACTGCCTCTGATGGAGGCAATTTGTTTGGGCTGCACCCTTTGTTGATCCCTCAACTAGATGTTATTGTGCAGTGAACAAATTAGGTTTTTGTGATAGCCTTGGAATTTTAGAATCTTTCCTTTATTTTCCAAATTCTACTGGCAGTTAAACTGAGTTTGTTTTGTTTTGTAGAAAATTACTGGTTTACTACCCCCTCCTTCTTCACAGATACTGCTGGTACAAATTACTTTTAAGCTCTTACTAGATGACTCTTCTATCCATATCGCATGCAGTCTTCCTCTTCATGTAAACCAATGCACTGCAACATAGCCATTTCTTCCACAGATTTATAAAGGGATAGGGAACCAACTACATCTTTTAAAAACTAAACTTTTTATTTTGAAATAATTTCACTTACACAGTTTTTCCCAATGCCAACATCTTACAAAACTATAGCACAATATTACAAGCAGTATATTGTCATTGACACAATCCACCAATCTCACTGAGATTGCCCCAGTTTTACTTGTACTCATTTGTGTATGTGTTTTTAGTTCTATGCAATTTTATCCCATGTAAATTAACCCACAAATTTTCATCTGTATGATTTTGTAGATACTGTCTTAAACTATTGTAAAATAATAGCTAACATGTATTTACTATTTATTATATACCCAACAGTTTTCTAAGCATTTCATATATATTACCTAACTCAACACTCAGAACAAGCTTAGAAGGCAGACACCATTATCTCCATTTTATAGATAAAAACACCTGATGTACAAAGTTAAGTAGCTCACCCTTGTATCACGTAGCAAACTATGGGCAAAGCTAAAGCCTGCATTAAGCAGTCTGATCCAGCGTCTGTGCTCTTAATCTCTATGCTGCACTCTCTGACAAATAAGTTCATTTTCAGCAATTCCATGTCTTCAAAATGGGCACTAAGTGAGCATTTTTTGAGTCAACACCTCTACTCAGTATATTATCTAATTCTACCACAGAAAAGCTATTTTTTGCTGTCTCTGACTTCAGGTCATAGCCTGTCCAGCCCCTACCTAGCAATGTATCCTACTTTGCTACTGTGGCATGGAAATTAAATGCGACCAGGCAAGTCACCTGTCTAGCACAGTGCTAGAGATATGAGTTATTTGTCTTCTTTTCCCCTTGCATCTATTATTTTTTCTTCATTTCACCACAGTTAGGTTCTGCCCATGTCACCATATGCCTGAACTCCTACTAGATATTAAATTCAGACATCAGACACTGTTCATATATATACTGCAACAGGCTGTGGTCTTCTTAACCTTCCTTCAGCCTCTTCCAACCCTGTCTCCACTGTCAGTCCCCATTGGCAGGTATTCTCCTCATGCACTGGCATACTATTTCCTAAATCTGCACTTTACCACCCCCCTAATTGGCACTGTTGTGTCTTCTCAATCTTTGAGAAGACAAAGATTATCTGCTTTTATTTATTTACTCACTTATTTGTACATAAAATGATAGGACCTTTCTTTGAAGAAAACAGGCAAAATTCAGTATGTAAGAGAGACTGGAAAAAATAAATGTTCTCCGGAATCTCATTGACTCAAAGCCTCCATACTGTGGAGCAGAGCTTGGAAACACCTCTGCTTGTATTTACTGTACTTTTCCAGCATGATTTTCTACAGCTTGTTACACTGCTTTAGACTCTGTCATATTTTTTTCATATTCCTACTCTTATTGCCACAATTGTTCATTTTATGCTTTGATTCATACTTTTATTCCTTGTCTGGAATGGTCTCCTTCCCTCTCTCCACATCTGCAAATCCTACTTCTTCTTTAAACAAACTCTACGAGGTTTTCTAAGAAACTGCCTCCATTCTTCACTCCATCAACACCTCTTATTCTCCTCACCAGCATGTCTTTAGCTGCTATTGCCTCACCACTCATTTGGGATTTAATAATAGTATGTTACTTTATTGGAATTTATTGCTGCTGATGATCTCTCTATGCCATTGTAAGCTTTTGAAAGGCATTGCCACTTTCTCAGAGTCCCATCTTCACCACTAAGAAATCTTAGACAAAGTACTTCTTTGTATTCCCATAGCAATTAGCACAGCATATTAAAGTCTACCCAGATGTTTTGCTGAATGAATTACTAAAATGTGTACAACATCACAGCATAAGGTATAGAAATTACGTGATGTCCTCAGTATTTAAGAAGAACAACTTTTGGGTTGCCTTAGAAGAAAGCAAATTATTCTTATCAGTCTCCTAGTTCTTTTAGCATCAATAAACCTATTTATATCTACTGCTTTAAATGGGAACTTTGGTTAATAAAAAATTTTGTCTGACTATATACATAGGACTATTGCTAATGACATGCAAATAGAAATTATATATATATATACACAACTAAATTTGGAAACAATATATACAAAATATGTAATCCTGTGAGACATTATATATTGACTGGGTAGACAGAGTCTATATTTATAGTAGAACTAGAATAGGTGGTAAACAAAAATCCATAGAAGGATGGATAAGTTGATTTTTTTCTAAGTATTTTATGCCTATAAATTAGACCCAAAACTCATGAATGTTTATGCTTATGCTGATCCTTTGTGACAACCTTCTTCCATAAGAAATTTATAGAAAAATGTGTATTATGTAATTATTATATACATAATTATATGCTTCCTATATTTAGATAACATTATTACACCTCATTTTTTATATGTAATCAGGGTCAAGAGACCCTAGTATATTAGGTAAAGAAAGAAAAATTCAGTTGCCTTCTATCCAAATATCTTCTATTGTTGATGAATAATTTTTAAAATCCTGTTTTGAGGTACAAATTCACACCATTTTTCTTCAGAAAAAGTAACTTCGTGGAAAATTTTGTCTTTATCATCAGAAGTGTTTTATTAATATTGTTGATCCTTAAGACCTTAAAGTTATAGTTAAAGGTGTAGTTATAATAATCAGTCACAATTTTAAAGTGACACTTCAAAAAAGCCTGAGGTAAGAATGGATTTCAAATAAGAGAGGTGTATGTGATATTGATATATTAGATGAGGAGGATAGGTAAACACCTATATTTTGTATAATATTCTACAAGAGTAAATTATTTTTGTGACTTTATCCTAAAGGAATGGGTTTCATAAAAAGCAGAAGGGATAGCCAACAAAACTTGCCTGTCACAGCCTTTTTCTAGTCTAGGAATTAGACCAAGACTATTGGGAAGGGCTGGGTGGTAAATGATTAAATGTCATTGTTCATGCAATAAATATACGGGAAGGTTTCACTAACAAGGTTGTGCACTGATTTTCTATGGTCAGGCCTACTTGAGGTATTTGATATGACTCAAGGTTTAGTAAGTTTCCTAGTTTAAGTAGATTGGATAATTGGAGAAAATGACCAGATTACATAGGACAGGGGTATAATTTAGGATAAAGGAAGTGGAACAAATGTAGCATCTGAATAACTCAAATTGCTAAGCCACAATAGAATAAAAAAAAAAAAGGTCCCTTAGAAAGGAAATATAATAATGTGGTCCAGCACATGGGCTCTGGAATCTGACTGGCTCTTCTACTTACAGCTGTGCAATTCCAGGCACACTACTCAAGCCTTGTGCTTTATTGTCCTTTGTGAAATGTGATAATAATATGTCTACTTCATATAATTGTTATGAGACATCTACTATTTTTGCCCAGAATCATTCAGCCTATTATAGGCATCCCCGCTTTCCCTTTTAGCCTATGTGTTCAGAAGAAGTATGTGATTTTATCTGGACAATTATGGAATTTCTTTTTTTTTGGCTGTGTGATTGGTTCAGGGACATTGACATTCTTCAGTCAAAGCAAAAGTGAGACATCTTCTTTTCCACCAGATTGGAACCTAAAAGATGTAGCAGTGAAGCTTCCACATCCCTCTTGCTGGAAACAATATGAGAACAAAAATGGAGGAGAGCAAAGCCCATGGATGGAAAGAGATAGGATACTGTTTTAGCTCCTGAATTTAGCAGTTTGTGAAACAAGCCCTATCATACTTTTAGTTATTTTTAAACAACAAATTTTTCTTTTTCTTCAGCTTAAGACAGCTTGAGTTGGGTCTTCTGACACCTGAAATAGAGTGCTGACTATATGGACTTTAAATTATATGTATATATACACAATATATATTAATATATAACATATTAATATATAATATACATATATGAATATATAACATATTGATATATAATATACATATATGAATATATAATATATTCATATATAATATACATATATTAATATATAATATATTCATATATAATATACATATATGAATATATAATATATTCATATATAATATACATATATGAATATATAATATATTCATATATAATATACATATATGAATATATAATATATTCACATATGGCATACATATATGAATATATAATATATTCATATATAATATACATATATGTGTGGGTGCACACGAGTGTGTAATTACATATATATTCCATGTAGATATCTACATATATCAGTGTATCCATATCCCAGTTCCTAAAATCTACTGGTGCTCAGGAATTTAATGAACACTTCTTATGTATTCATTACATTCTAGATACTTTTCAAATGGCTTCAGACAAGTATGTAATTCTTATGACCTTATCAGGCAGAGTAGATTAGTTATCTATTGCTGCATAAAAAATTACACCAAAACTTGTATTTATTATTTCATAATTCTGTAAGTGAGAAATTAGGGAAAGCAGCTTATTTGAGTAATTCTGGCTCATGATCTCTCATGCTTCATTTCAGCTAAAATGTTATTTAAGGCAGCAAATCTCTGAAGGCTTGACTGAGACTCTAGTATCCACTTCTAAGATGAAAGAGTGGTTGAAAAATAAAGTAAGACAGAAGCTTCAATCTCTTTTATGCTCAGAAACACTATGTCACTTACACAATATTCTGTTAGTTACTCAAGTCAGTCTATTCAGTGTAGGAGGGAACTAGATCACAACCTGAATACTAGCAGGCAGGGACCATTGGGGGCCATTTTGGGGGCTGGCTACCATACGAGGCACCTCCATTTTATAGATGAGAAAATTAAGGCTTAGAATATTTCAGCAATTCGTCCAAGGTAGCATAGCTATTAAGTGGTGCCATTATTACATAATTATAATGTATTCAAAAACTCATTTTCCTTCATAAATGGATGTAAAATTATAGAATGTAAAACTTCTTTAATGTTTCTATCACTTGAATTCTGAAATAGGTCTTTGTTTTAAAACTATAACAAATATTAATTAGGCTAAAAGCAATATATCATTGCAAAAGACTTTTTCAAAGTGCTTATACATATATTATGGCATTTTGAACAACATCACTGGGTTCTAAAATAGAACCCATTTTTTGTTTTTAGGAATCTTTCAAAATTTGTTTTAGTTCAACAAAATATCCTAAATTGTAATATTGCAACCTTGCTCCTTCTTACATTTTGCTTTAAGTTTCCATTTTAATCCTTTCATATTAATTTATTTTGATAAACAGTGTAGTTAGAAGTCAACCCAGTTCATAAACTTTCTTCTCCTCTCCACCCCCACCCCTGGTAACACCGTTTTACTCTCTATCTCTGTATATTCAACTTTTTTTATGATTCTACATATAAATGAGATAAAGCAATATTTTTGTCTGTGTCTGGCTTATTTCACTTTGCATAAAGTCCTTCAGGTTCGTCCCTGTTGGGGCAAATGGCAGGATCTCTTTTTTTAGAGGCTAAATAATATTCCATTTGTGTGTATTATATATAGTTGTTTCTGTATCTTCATTATTGTGAATACTGCTGCAATGAACATGGAAATGCAAGTATTCTTACAAAGTGGTGTAGATATACTCCTTTAGTGTAAAAATATAGTCCTTTGTGTATATACCCAGAGGAAGGATTGCTGGGTCATACAGTAGTTCCATTTTTAATTTTCACAGAACTCAATCTACATTCCCACTAACAGTGTACGAAGGTTCCTTTTTCTTCACACCCTCGCCAACACTTGTGATCTGTCTTTTGAGGATGCCCATCCTAACATACATGAGGTGATATCTCATAGTGGTTTTAATTTGCATTTCCCAGATGACTAGTGATATTGAATGCCTTTTCACGTACTTCTTGGCCTCTTTCTTTCTTTCTTTCTTTTCTTTCTTTTTTTTCTTTTCTTTCTTTCTTTTTTTGAGACGGAGTTTCGCTCTTGTTGCCCAGGCTGGAGTGCAATGGTGTCATCTCGGCTCACCGCAACCTTGGCCTCCCAGGATCAAGTGATTCTGCTGCCTCAGCCTCCTGAGTAGCTGGGATTACAGGCATGTGCCACCACGCCCAGCTAATTTTGTATTTCTAGTGGAGACTAGAAATGGGTTTCTCCATGTTGGTCAGTCTGGTCTCCAACTCCCGACCTCAGATGATCTGTGCGCCTCAGCCTCCCAAAGTGCTGGGATTACAGGCATGAGCCACCACTCCTGGTCTTGTTGGCCATTTTTATTTCTTATTTAGAGAAATATCTACTCATGTCCTTTGCCCATTACTTAATCAGGTTATTTGTTTTTTTCCTAATGAGTTGTATGATTTCTTTACAAATTTTGGATATTAATCCATTATCAGATATATGATTTGCAAATATTTTTCCCAGTCCATAGGTTGCCTTTTCATTTTGTTGATTGTTTTCTTTGCTGTGCAGAATGTAGTCTCATTTATTTTTGTTTTCTTTTATAACCTGAGCTTTTATTGTGTGATATTCAAAAAAATCATTGCCAAGGTCAATGTCAAGGAGCTCTTCCTCTATGTTTTTTTTTTTTTTAGGAGTTTTATGGTTTTAGGTTTTACATTTAGTCATTTTATCCATCTGAGTTTATTTTTGTATATGGTATGAGACAGTTCAATTTCATTATTTTGCATGTGGAAATCCAGTTTTCCTAGCATCGTATATTGAAGAGACTATGATTATACTTTCATGGATAACTCTATGTGGTATCCTATTTTCCCGCCCTTACCAATGGTATTTCATTCACCACTGTCCTTGAGCTAAAATGTTCTCTTAACCATCAAGTCTATAATTCTTCTTCCAGAGTATCTGTAGGGTTTACCATTTCCTTTCTATTTTCATGGCCAGAATTTCAATAGATACTCTAGTAACCTTTGGCAATTTTCTGCTGGATGCTTGCATTAAATGCCCCAAACATTTATTTAGTAGAAATTGTGAAAATTTGGAATTATGGGATCTTGCATAGATGATTTTTGTTAACAATTAAATAATCACTTATTGGCCTTTTGGCTAAGATCAGGTTCAACAATGAAATTGCAATGTGTTTTAGTTAGTAAAAATCATTAGGCTACATGGAGAGCAAGAGGTTAGTATAGATGTTCTCATCTATGAGACATAATTATAAAGCTGTTTATTGAAGCCATCTGAATGGATATTTTTTTCCCAATGGTTACTGAGCTTAATATTTTCCACAGAGTGTGACTTTTTTAATTGAAAGAGTCTATAAGTGGTTTCATCAATTTAGGAAAGTGCCTTGCTTAAAACACAGTTAATGTAACTCAGTGCAGTAAAATAATTAATATTTTTTGAGGTACACTTCTTAAATCTAGTAATAAAATTTAATGTTCAGGGCAAAGCAGAACAGAATAATTTTAAAAAATCCTTGCAAGATTATTTTTCTTTTAATGTTCAAAAGGACCTCCACATATTTTCTAGAAATCTTGCAATTTGAAATTGCTATTATCTTTGGCTCTGATTTAACCAGTAAACTAGTTACCCTGAATTCTAAGATACTTGTGATAGACATGTGGCTTGTGAAGTATACCCTCTGTTTTGAGGGCTATAGTTTTTGCAGAAAGAACTAGTATTCCAGGATATTTTCTTGCCTTGGTTTAAGAAGATAACCTTAGTGTAATTAAGTCATAGTTTGGGGTGGAGAGGAGGTAGAAGGGAGACATTAAAACCAATGAAAACACAGCTGACCAAATTACTTTGGCTATTTGATGTAGCAGATACAACAAATTAAAAAGTGAAGATTTACAACACTATACACTTTACAGTCCAAGAGGGTTTGACATTCAGATTAATGAAGCTGTAAAGATAAATTGCTACGTACGTGCTTCTCCACTTTTCAAATATGAACTACTTTAAAAACTGAAGTCTAATTATGGACTATAGTCTTTCTGTGAATATTAATAAAAGTTTGGCCAAACCTAAATTATGCTTTCCATAACCTTTTTAAAGTCAAATGAAAACAAAACAAACCTCAACCAATTATAGTAACTGTGCTGTGTAGCAGGCTTGCAAATATATGATACATTTTGACAGCTGTTTTTTACTGGAATCCTATCAAGGCAATCACTAAATATTTTGGGATTCTTAAAATGAGAGAATGCTAAATTTGTAACTGCTTCAGCCACTGGAGGCCCCAGAGTTGGAAAGTGTCTCTTGGTTGTTACAGTGCTACCTACCAATGCTTGAAGGGTTGCTATATTGCTACCAATGCTTAAATCTGGATGACAATTTATGTAACTCAGATTCTCCAGTAATTAATGCAAAATAATTACTTTAAATGTAATCATTCCCTGTTCAAAATACATATACCATTTGTGCAAACAAATATATCCTTCTGATACACTTGATCAATAAGATAGAGAAAGATGATATTCAGAGATTTGTCCCAATAAAATGGGTTGAATGATTAGAAAATAATACTCTCAACAAACTTGTTAACAACAGAATGCTCTCAAGATACAGGAGGGAATAAGTGAAAGTGTGCAGTGCTGATCCTTGACCTTGGTACTCTCAAAAGTAGCTTAGATAATGCGATAATGTCTTATCTCCTGGGCTGGGCATGGAATATATATATATAATATTTTATATATATATAAAACATAATATATATATATAGTAAATATGCAATATCCACATATATCCCTGTGGTTAATCTCAATTTCCCTTTTGTTGTTGTTGTTAATGTTGTGTGTGTTTTACTTAGAATTAAGTTAATCTGAATCTTAGTAAAAATCACCTTTTCCTATCCTTCTACCCCTTTTCTTCCCTCTTTTCACTCTAATTCAGTCACCTTTCTTTAAATGTGTCACAGCCCAGAGAGCTTCAGAGTTTCTAAGAAGCAACTGAGTCAATTCCTTCTTGATTTCCTTATAGTACTTCCTTCTTGGACAGCAAAGTATCTTCCTCACACCACCAAAGAGCATCCTGAGGAAGCTCAAGGTAACCACGGTTAGTAACAGTTATGTGACCAACAGGAAACCCAAATTTTGCAGAAACATCAATTCCAAGCCCTTTTTATAGTAGGTCCTTTCAGTTACCAGAGCTCCTATGCCAGCACTACATAAAACAAGGCCTAAAATATTTAAGGCATATGGGTAGACTACAGCCCACCTAATTCTAATTTATCTATTGCCACTCCCTGACTTTCACTTTCTAGGGATATCAAACATATGGAGTTTTTCCCTATCTATTTTTGGTCATGCTATCCATTCTGCCTGAAAAAAAATTATAAATCCTCCCTGACACAGCTGAAGTGTCAGTTTCTCCAGAAATCCCTCTTTCATATCTGTGAGATAAGTTGTGCGTTCCCCTCTAATCCATGTCTTTCTAAGCTACCGGTTCTCAAACTTCAGTGTGCACCAAAATTACTAAAATACAGATTCCTGCGACTCACTCTCTGAGTTTCTGATTCAGTAGGTCTGCAATGGGACTTGAGATTTTGCATTTCTAGCAAGTCCCTAGGGGATGTCAATGCTGCTAATCTGGGGATTACACTTTGAGAATCATTTTTATTACATTTTAATTAAATGTAGAAAATAGGACTATATAGACTTTCCCCAACTCAAATGTGAACTCATTGAAGGCAAAGAATCTGGTCTTACCTGTCTTTATTTGTACTTTTAGTCCCTGAGCACAGTGTCTAACTCTGCGTAAGCCATCAATGCTGAAAAATAAAAGTTCATAAGCTTGGGAGTTAAGCAGAAGTAGACCTATAGCCTCATTTTACCGATATCTAACTGAACTAACTGTTGGATAACTTGGGTAACTAATTTTACCTGTCATGCTTTCAGTTTTGTCATGTCCATTTGAGGATTAAAATGTAGTGTACCCATCACATCTTGTTATTTTGAGATTCAATTAAATATATTGACATATATATGTATATATGTGTATAGACATATATGTGTGTGTATATATAGTGTGTGTGATAATCCTCTCTATGGGGTGTGTGTGCATAGTGATAAGCTCATTAGCTAGAACATCCTAAGTATTTTGTAAATGGTATCTTACTAGAGCTATGAATAAATTTGTTTGAAAAGATCTTTTCTTCTGTTTGCTGACCATTCTAGGTGCACAGTTTATACTGGCCAGCTTCTCTGGGGGTGAGGGGAAGGGAAGTGAGAGGAAGAGAAAAGCCATTATCCATAAAGGGCAAGAAGACACATAATCGGCCTCTGAAACATAATTTTCTGTGGTAACTAGAAAGTCCTTGTTTATTAGAAGTGGTTTAGGGTTAGACAATATGTTTTTGGGTTTTCAAAGCTTTGGTTGTCATTGGAATGAGTAAGCCTTTAAATTAAGTGTGGTTGACTTAACATAAACATCTAATACTTTCTTCATCTCCCATATCTGCTCTCTTTGGCACATTGCCAAGTCACTTGAGGGTTGCTGAAATACAGTTCTTGAATAATGTTAACATAAAAGGCTGAAGTTATTTTTCCATACACAGATTATACATACATGCATACTAAAATACTAAGAGATTTTGGTTATGAAAAGTCTTCAATTCTAGGAAATAGAGGTGAATAGCTGTTATCTGTATAAAAATATCCAAGCAGCTCTGTTCTGACCTGTGTTTCTTCAGCCTGCCTGGTGTGTAAGATGTTATTGAAGCTATCCTAACCATTGCAGTCCTAAAATCTGGGCATGCCTTTGTAAACAACTTAATCTTATGTTGTAGTGACTTAAGCACCAAGAAGAAACTGACTTATTAGTATATTTGGGTCAAGGTTTAGGAGGAGAGCAGCATGAAATTTAGAAAGGACTGTTAATTTCAATTAGAACCCATTCTACCTACATTAGATAGCCTCATGAATTTGGGCAAAAGTTAATACTGATACAAAGTTACCTGATATCAAATTACTAGACGATTTTGTTAATATGTTGATAAATTATTCTGTTCTAAAGATTTATATAGATAAGTGTTCAATTACTTTCACATCTATGAGTGAATAAGCAAACTTTATTAGCATGAACTATGTTTAAGTATTTTGACACGTATTTATTCTTCGCATGGCTTATTTTTATTACTACTTTAGAGATGAGCAAACAGAAGTACAGAATAACAGATTTGCCCAGAAAATAAGTCTTAGGAAGCTGTTTTGAGGACCTACCCTTGACCGCAATTCCAGTATTGACAAAATTTAATGCCTTCTCATCAAGCATAAACATTTATTAATCTGCTCAGATATTTTAAAGCTGTGCTCTTTCCTTAGGTTAGCAATCTAATTATTTTGCTGTCATAGACCACTCACCTTAAACAAATGAAATATGTCTTTATATTCGACCACTAGTAGGCAGACAAATATAAGTGTTAATATATCTACTAGTATTTTCTTACCTTAGTAGGAATCAGTAGGGGACTTGCTCAAGAATATCTAACAAATAAGTCAGAATCACCATATTTTCACCCCCAAAATCAAAACAATTTTTGCCTTTCCATGATAATTTCTATTACAGTTCTTTTGTGTGTAAACTAAGATTTAGCACTATTATCATTATTGAAGCATCCCCAAAATTTGCTATTTAAGGGTTTGAAAACCACCAGGTCTACTTTAAATGCATAATTTCTGTGAAATATGAATTGACCTGTGGCAAAATTATGTGCAGTTTCTCCATGTTTCCTAGCTCACAGCAGCACTTTGAAGTTTCATAGTCAAAAGATAACACATAGAAATTTCACAACCCTCAAAGGTCTGAAAGTCCCTGTCTTAGTGGTCAGAGCAATTTTCTTTTTTACAGATACTGGAACCCATCTTGAATCATGCTATGGACCGAAAGTCTGTGACCTCCCCACCTAAATTCATACGTTGAAATCTTCACTCCCTAAGTGATAGTATTAGGAGGTGAGGGCCTTTGAAGGACAATTACATCATGACGGTGGAACCCCCATGAATGAGATTAGTGCCTTTATAAGAAGAGCCGAGAGAGCTAGCTAACTCTCTCTCTTTTCATCAGGTAAGGATACAGTAAGTCTGCAGTTTGTAACCCAGAAAAGGGCCATCACTGGGTTCCTACTATGCTGGCATCCTGATCTTGGAATTCCAGCCCCTAGAACACAAAAAATAAATGTGTTGTTTATAAGCCATCCAATCTATGGTGCTCTATTATAGCAGCCCAAACTAATACAAACCACAATCAGCAGGATATTCAGAAGTTACCGGGGAGAATTGTTTGCTAAATTTACCATGACTATTACATGTGAACAAAGAACATTCATTTAATAATTAGAATACAATATTTTACCCCAAATCCTAAATAGCAAAAATGATTACCATATTAGAATTCTAATGGGGACATTTATCAATTTATTTTTGAATATACGTTAAACACTGGACTACATAACTGAGGCTTTGAAAATTTCCAATTATATAATGCCAATCATACATTTTCTTCCCCTAACATCCCCACCAAAAACAAAACAAAGCAAAATAACCTTATAAGTTTTCAATGACTAGCTCTTAACCATCTTCAAAGAAACATGAACACAGTATTAGGGTGAATGCTCTGATCGCAGATTTTATTATTATTCTAGAGAAATAAAATGTTACTTAACAAGTCTCCTTTTGTTCCATGAAAATAAAAAAAAAATCCCTATTATGGATAGGAAGTTCAGGAAAAATATATAAATCTGTGGTCTTTAAGGTCATATAGAGTAGATACGAATTCTAGCTGTTTTATTTCTTAGCTGGGTAAACTTGGGCAAATATTTAACCTCCTTGACTCTCAATCAAGAGGTATTATTGGAGATAATGGTGCCTATTCTGAAGAGTTGTAGTGAAGATTAAATGAGATAATATGTACAACATATTTAATACCATTCTTATACATAGGAGGCCCTTAATAAGGTATATTAGCAATTATAGCAATTGTTGAGATACAGCACATTTTAAGAAATTAATTATTTCAGTAAGATAGAAGTAAACTTTCCATGCGTATTGAAGACTTAACACTGAAATCTGAGAATGAGCATCTTATTGATGCAGAGGGAGTAAAATTCATACTGCTTTAACATGCCTTTGCAAACCCCTAAATATGTGCAAGCTGAGTTAGAAAAGAACACAGGTCTAGGAACAAAGAGCAATGAGTGAAGATTTCAGAGAGTTAACCTGTATTTTTACCTGAAGAAATGATCAACATAAAATGTAGAATCTCATTGAAAAGGGAAGTTGAGACCATATTCCCTCACAGAATGACATATTGACAGATATATATATATATACATATATATATCTGTATGTTTGAAATGAATGAAATCTTAGCTATTCACATGTGTTCTCAGAAGCATGGAGAATGACACTGAGGAGCAGGGAGCGGGGTTATCAAAAATATAAACAACTTCAGCAAATGGCTACTAAATAAAATACAACTGAAATGAATAATTCAATGTTATAATAAAATTTATCTGAACATTTATATAATGTTATCACACCCTATATATGACTTTGTGTCTGTAGCTTGAAATTATCAGATAAATTTCTGTATATAATAGCCACTGTGTGTAAATATTAAAATAAAAAGTTAAAATAAAATGTAATTAAAAATTTAGCTCCTTGGTAGCACTGAGGTGTGCCTTTAATAATATTTGATAAAGACAATAATCTCTACTTCACATTATTGGTTAGTGAAGTATTTGCAGGGGTCAGGCAGACTTTTGAAGTAAATTATGTCTGGGTTGATTTGGTCTCATAAGTATTTTGAACTTTCTGAGTTGCGTTAGGATTTATTATACTTTTGGATTAAACTCCTAAACTGTAAGTAATAGACTAGACATGAGTACAAAAACATCCCTCCCAGAGATAGTGAAAAACATTAAATTAACCTTTGGAGAAGGAAGAAATACATTAGAACTCAAAACACTGAGTGAAATCATAGTGTTGATATTTGAAGCTGTCATTACAGTAATGGTATATTTTAAGCTTGTTTCATTTAGATGTTATTTTTTATAGTGGTTGTGGGTTTGAGATCATATTAATAAGGCAAATAGTCAAAGTTGTTAAGTAAATCATACCTGGAATTTATTTTCTTTATATTCTTGCATCAACAAAGTCTGTGCTGAGAAATATTTGTTCAGATAGGTTTTCTGCGTTTATCCCTTTCACAGCCCAGCTTGTGTAGGCAAATTTAAATTTTGCAGAATCAACACATATTCACATAAAGCTCTTAAATCTAAATAAAAACTTGGTTATCTAAAGTTTTGTGTATATTTTTAGCTGTAAGACAAAGGAAGACTTTTAGCTTGGTCTTTCCATAATGTTTATGTAAATGTAGAAATCTAATAATATCCAGTTTGTTTATATTCTGACTATGTAATTGAGGGACATCTATTTCTTGTGCAACAATGGAAACAATGAATTTTGAGCTTCAAAAATTCATTTTCATATGCTAAATAAATGAAATTTTAAAGTACATGTGTTAGGGTTCTCTAGTGGACAGAACTAATAGGATATTTATATCCTATTAGTTATGTGTGTGTGTGTGTGTGTGTGTGTGTGTATGGTAGTTTATTAAGTATTAACTCACTTTATCACAAGGTCCCACAATAGGCTGTCTGCAAGCTGAGGAGCAAGGAGAGCCAGTCTGAGTTGCAAAACTGAAGACCTTGGAGTCTGATGTTCAAGGGCAGGAAGCATCCAGGATGAGAGAAAGATGTAGGCTGGGAGGCTAGGCCAGTCTAGCCTTTTCACGTTTTTCTGCCTGCTTTATATCCTGGCTATGCTGGCAGCTGATTAGATGGTGCCCACCCAGATTAATGGTGTATCTGCCTTTCCCAGCCCACTGATTAAAATGTTAATCTCCTTTGGCAACACTCTCACAGACACACCCAGGATCAATAATTTGTATCCTTCAATCCAATCAAGTTGACAGTATTAACCATCACAGGTCAACCCCTTGTCAATTTGCCCCATACACATTGCCTGAGATCATACATAATCTTCAAATAAAGACAATAATAAGGTCATAATTTCATCTAACATAGTACAACTATCCTTCGTACAACCAGAAACACACCAAATCCCAACCCAAATGCTATTACATAAAGTTAACATCACTTAAATGCTGATATGAAGTCAATAAATCTTATGTCACAGGATATGGGAAAAGGGAAATAAAATGAAGATATTTTCTTAGTACAAGTGTATACATGCACAAACATGTTTTTAACAAAAGATAGAGGAAATACTCCTCATGACTCATTTCTGCAACTGGTCATGTGGTTGTAGCTGGTATTAATGACTACCTCGTCTACTATCCATTCTGTATTCCCTTTGCCCTCAGCAAGCACCTCAGAAAGTTGTGTTATTTTTCCTGGTGGAATGACCCAAACCTTCATTCCTGAAGAGTCTGGGCCATTTGTAGTCTTGTCTGGATTGGTCTGTTGTAGTTTCCCATTGACATTAATCACAGGGCATAGTAATACTAAGAGATGCCCTAATGGATCCATGCATACTCTTCCTTACCTCCATTCTGGAGAAGTAAACTGATTTCATCTTGATAGTCTGGGTCAATCACCCCAGCCAACACTGTAACTTGCTTCTTACCCTGTTGACTTAAAGGTAGGAGAAACCCAAAATGTCCAGATGGCAATCTTAAGTTCCAGTTTACTGGAATCATTGTTGTGTCTCCTGGTGGCAGCATTCCTCCTTCTGGAACTAAGACCTCTAGGCCAGCAGAATGTAATGTTGTAGGAAAAGGAAGCAAAAATTTTGCTAGTGGATCATTAGGGGTGATGGCAAGTGTTGCCACTTCCACTTCCACCCCTTGATTCCTGGACCTGTGAATCCTGGCTATGGGAGGAACAGTATCATGTATTGGACTCTGATTCACGGGTCTTCTGGAGAACTTTACCCCAGCCCTGCAAAGCACTGTCACGTAGTTGGCATTGTAATTGTGACTTCAAAAGACCATTCCACTGTTCTATCAATCCAGCTGCTTCAGGATGATGGGGAACATAGTAAGACCAGTGAATTCCATGAGCATGAGCCCACTGCCACACTTCTTTAGCTGGAAAGTGAGTGCGTTGGTCAGAGGCAATGCTGTGTGAAATACCATGATGGTGGATAAGGCATTTCATAAGTCCACATATGGTAGTCTTGGCAGAAGCATTGTGTGCAAGATAGGCAAACTTATATCCAAAGTAAGTGTATATTCCAGCGAGGACAATACCTTTTCCATAATGGAAGAGGTCAAGTGTAATCAACCTGCCACCAGGTAGTTGGCTGATCACCCCAAGGAATGGTGCCATATTGAGGGCTCAGTGTTGGTATCTGCTGCTGGCAAATGGGGCACTCAACAGTGGCCATAGCCAGGTCAACCTTGGTGAGTGGAAGCCCATGTTGCTGAGCCCATACATATCATCCATCCCTGCCACCATGGCCACTTTGTTCATGGGCCCATTGGGAGATGACAGGGATGGCTGGGGAAAGAAGCTGAGTGGTGTCCACAGAACGGGGCATGCTATTCACTAGATTATTAAAATCCTCCCCTGCTGAGGTCACCCATTGGTGAGCACTCACATGGGATACAAATATCTTCAGTTTTTGACCACTCAGAGAACTCCATCCACATACCTATTCTCCAAATTTCTTTGTCATCAATTTTCCAATCATGCTTCTTCCAAGTCCCTGACCATACAGCCAAACCATTGGCCACAGCCCATGAATCAGTATATAATTGCACAACTGGCCATTTCTCCTTTCATGCAAAGTACACAACCAGGTGCACTGCCTGAAGTTCTGCCCACTGGGAATATTTCCTTTCACTGCTGTCCTTCAGGGATGTCCTAGAAAGGGGCTGTAGTGCTGCAGCTGTCCACTTTCAGGTGGTGCCTGCATATTGTGCAGAACCATCTGTGAACCAGGCCCTAGTATTCTCTTCCTCTGTCAACTGATCATAGGGAACTCCCCATGAGGCCACTGGTGCAGGCTGGGGGAGAGAAGGCAGAGTGGCAGGAGTGGAGACCGTGGGCATTTGAGCCACTTACTCGTGTAAGTTGCTTGTGCCTTTAGGACCTGCTTGAGCCCAGTCACATACATACCACTTCTATTTGATGATGGAATACTGCTGTGCATGACCCACTTTATGTCTAGTTGAGTCAGAAAGCACCTAGTTCATGATAGACAGTTCAGGTCGCATGGTGACTTGATGACCCATAGTCAAACATTCAGTTTCCACCAAAGCCCACTAACAGACCAAGATCTGTCTCTCAAATAAGAGTAGTTATTTGCAGAAGATGGCAGGGACTTGCTCCAAAATTCTAGAGGCTTCTCCTGTGATTCATGTATGGGGACCTGCCAGTGGCTCCAAATAGCATTCCTATCTGCCACTGACACCTCAAGCACCATTGGATTTGCTGGGTAATATAGACCAAGTGACAGAGCAGCTTGCACAGTAGCCTGGACCTATTGCAGTGCCTTCTCCTGTTCTGGACTCAAAACTGGCAGCCTTTCAGGTCACTTGATAAATGAGCCAGAGTAACACACCCAAATGAGGAATGTGTTGCCTCCAAAATCCAAATAGGTCCACTAGGCATTGTGCTTCTTTCTTGCTTGTAGGAGGGGCCAAATGCAGCAATTTATTCTTCACCTTAGAAGGAATATCTCAACAGGCCCCACACCACTGGACCTCTAGAAATTTTACTGAGGTAGAGATCTCTGAAGTTTAGTTGGATTTATTTCCCATCCTCTGGCATGCAAACGTCTCACCAATAAGTCACATGTGTTTGTTACTTCTTGCTCACTGGATCCAATCAGCACAATTTCATCAATGTAATGGACCAGTGTGATATCTTGCAGAAGTGAAAAGTGATCACGCTCTCTCTGAATAAGATTATGACAGGAAGCTGGAACGTTGATATACCACTGAGGTAGGATGGTAAATGTATATTGCTGGCCTTGCCAACTGAAGGCGAATTGCTTCTGGTGGGCCTTATGGACAGTAATGGAGAAAAGGCAATGAAACCATAACTGGCCCAGCAGCTGCAATTGGAGTCACCACTTGGTTAAGCTTATGGTAATCCACTGTCATTCCCAAGATCCATCTGTCTTCTGTACAGGCCAAATGGGAGAGTGAATGGGGATGTGGTGGGAGTCAACACTCCTGCATCTTTCAAGTCCTTGATGGTGGCACCAATCTCTGTAATCCCTCCAGGGATGTGATATTGTTTTTGATTTACTATTTTTCTAGCTAAAATTAACTCTAATCACTTCCATTTGCCCTTTCCCACCACAATAGCTCTCACCCTACCAGTTAGGGAACCAATGTGGGCATTCTGTCATCTGCTAAGTATGTCTATGCCAATTAGACATTCTGGCACTGGGGAAATGACCACAGAATGAGTCCAGGGACCCACTGGACCTACTGTAAGTTGGACCTGAGCTAAAACTCCATTAATTACCTGACCTCCATAAGCCCCTATTTTAACTAGAGAACCACAATGACATTTTGGGTCCCCTGGGATCAATGTCATCTCAGAGTCAGTGTCCAGTAGTCCTCAAAATGTCTGATCATTTCCCTTTCACCAATGCACAGTTACTCTGGCAAAAGTCTGAAGGTCCCCTTGGGGAAGGATGGGAGAAAGATTAACAGCATAAATTGTTGCTAGTGTAGTTTGGTCCTTCCTCAAGGGGACCCAGCTTCCACTTCATTCAAAGGGTTTTGGGTCTGTAAACTGGCTTAAGTCTGGAAATTGACTGAGGGGCCATGATTCTATTTTTATAACTCAAATTAGTCTTTTGTTCGTTTGACCTAGAAGTTTTCTGCCTATACAAATTAAATAGGAATGGAATAGGCTTCTATCAATTTCACTTCTAGGAATACCGTGATCAATTAGCCAATGCCAGAGCTCTACACAAGTCAGACTATTCTGATTGCTGCTTTACCTCTACTGTCCATTACGGTAGCTATGCTCCCCTTGCCTTTGATGGTTGAGTGCCACCACTTGGCCCCTGCCACCTCGAGATCCAATTATTCCCATTGTATTTAAATTTTATAGTTGAGTGACTGTGGTTCCCACTGTTAGGTCTGACATACAGAGAAGAGCAATTACAGGGCTCTTCAAAGATGCAGGTTCTGCCCTCACAAATCTATTTCAGAAGGCATTGGTCAAGGGTGTATCTTCTGGGCCTTCCCAGCTGGGATGAGCAGGTGTAAAGTGACTAATCCACTCCACCATCCCAATCTCCCCAAGCCTCTGGATCCCTTCCTCTAAATTAAGCCAAAGGAGATCAGGCATTTCTAGCTCGCTCACAGTGGGGGCAATCTTTTAATCCATATTTCAGCTAACCAAGCAAGTAAACTATTAGAACCTTTTTTAACTGCTTGAGCTGCAACATTAAATGCAGAGTCCCTACTTACTGGGCCCAAATCAGTAAATTCAGCCTGATTCAACTCTACATTCCTTCCACCATTATCCCAAACCCTTAATATCCATTTCCATGCCTGTTCTCCAGATTTTTGCTTATATAAATTAGAAAACTCAAGCAGTTCTTATCAAATGTAGCACACCTCCTCATGGGGCCTCTGGGGCCCACCTAGACTTTAGTCTAGTTATAGGTCTAGAAGCAAACAGGGGTGTTGGGGGTGGCTCCTGGTGAGAATCAACATTATCTTGCCTGGCAACTCCCTCAGGGGAGGCCATCACTGTTTTGGCCTCAGGCAGTACAGGGTTTATCTCCTCAGATGAAAGTGGAAAGGCTGATGGCAGCATGAGTCAGGAAGGGGATATTGCCACTACTAGGGATAGGGAAGCTGTTTCTTCTGGCAAAAAATGTTCACCAGAGTTTACAAACTCAGTGCCCCGAGATTCATCAGTGTCCTCCCACACATCCCCATTCCATGTTGGAGGATCATTCTTTTCCATTCAATGCCCTCACTTTAACAGCAGACACCTGGTGAAGCTGTGCATGCACCTTTCATTGCAGGTCAGCCACTTGCATGATTAGAGCTTGTGTCTTTTTTTCCACAATTTCAGCTCTTTCTCTACAGGAGATAAGATTCCAACTCAGGACAATCTTAGCAGATTTGAGGCTCAGTATCTGCTTCTAAAGCCAGGAGTTAGAATCCCTGAGTTCATCATTTTCTTTCATCACTTTGTCCACTGAACTTAGGAGCAACCAATCAGCTTTATTATATTCCTTGATTCTTCACACATAATCAAACGTTTTATGTATAGAGTCACTAAACTACCTGCCTCTCACGAGCAGTGAATCAGAAATGTCAAATGCATTTATTTTGCATAACTCTCTAAACAGTTAACAGCAAGGATTATCAGTGTTCTCCATACTATTGGAAGTAGAGTTCTTAGCATTTTTGGGTCTAATCATATTAAGTAGCCAACTCCAGAAACCCCCAAAACAATAAAAGAATTCATCCTTAATATTGTTTCTCTAGAACCACTCCTGGTACCAAAATCTGTATTAGTCAGGGGTTCTGTAAAGGAACAGAACTAATAGTGTGTGTGAGTTTATATATATTTATGTAAATATATTTATACAATATTTATATATATATTATATAAATATATTTATACAATATTTATATATATTGTATAAATATATTTATATAATATTTATATATATATTGTATAAATATATTTATATAATATTTATATATATTGTATAAATATATTTATATAATATTTATATATATATTGTATAAATATATTTATATAATATTTATATATATAAATATATTTATATAATATTTATATATATAAATGTATTTATATAATATTTATATATATAAATGTATTTATATAATATTTATATATATTTATACATATAAGTAATATTTATAATATATATAATATTTATAAAATATATATAATATATTTTATAAATATATATTTATTAAATATATATAATATATTTTATAAATGTATATTTATATAATATATAATATATTTAATACATATATATAATATATTTAATAAATATATATATTTATAAAATATATTATATAAAATATATATTTTATATATTATATATTTATAAATATATAATATATAAAATATATATTTTATATATTATATTTTATAAATATATATTTATAAATATATAATATATAAAATATATATTTTATATATTATATTTTATAAATATATATATTTTTATAAATATATAATATATAAATATATTATATGATATATATATTATATATTATATTATATAATATATAAATATATATATTATATATATTTATATATTATATTATATAATATATAAATATATATTATATATATTATATTATATAATATATAAATTATATATTATAATATAATATATAATATATATATTTATATATTATATTATATAAATATTATATAAATATAATATTTATATAATATAATATATGTAATATATATTATGATATATAATAAGTAATATATATTATATATAATATATAATAATATATAATAAATGCTATAATATATATTATATAAATAAAATATAAATATATATAATATATAATATATTATATATAAGATATTAATATAAATATATTATATAAATATATTTATATAATATATAATACATATAATATATAATAATATGTAATACTATATAATATAATATATAATATATATTATAATATATAATAAATAATATAATATATAATATATATTATATAAATAAAATATATATAATATATAATATATTAATATATATAATATATAAGATATATGATACATTAATATTAATATATATAATATATAATATATATGATATATTAATATAATATATATAATATATAATATATTAATATAATATATATTGATATATTAATATAATATATATAATATATAATATATTGATATATTAATATAATATATAATATATAATATATTATATAATATATAATATATAATATATTATATAATATATAATATATAATATATTATATAATATATAATATATCAATATATTATATAATATATTAATATAAATATATAATATATAATATATTAATATAAATATATAATATATAATATATTAATATAAATATATAATATATTAATATATATATGATATATTAATATAAATATATGATATATTATATATATTTATATATGAGTTTTTATGTATGAGTCCATATGTGTATATATATATAATCAGTGTGTGTGTGTGTGTGTGTGTATATATATATATGTATACATATATATATATGAGTTTAGTAAGTATTAACTCACATGATCACAAGGTCCCACAATAGGCCATCTGCAAGCTGAGAGCTGAGGAGCAAGGAGAACCAGTCTGAGTCCCAAAACTGAAGAACTTGGAGTCTGATGTTTGAGGGCAGGCAGCATCTGTTCACGGGAGAAAGATGTAGATCAGTCTAGCCTTTTCATGTTTTTCTGCCTGCTTTATATACTGGCTGCCCTGACAGCTGATTAGATTGTGCCCACCCAGATTAAGGGTGAGTCTGCCTTTCCCAGCCCACTGACTCAAATGTTAATCTCCTTTGGCAACACCCTCACAGACACACCCAGAATCAATACTTTGCATCTTTCAGTCAAATCAAGTTGACACTCAGTACTGACCATCACACTATGGTTTTTTTTTTTTTAACCTTTTGAACATATAGATTTTTATATATTTAACAATTTAAGAACACACAGTTTCTCAAATATTCATGGTTTTGATAACTTTCTACCTGCAAGGGGTTATCCACATCCCAAGAAAGCATTATGGAATGGAATCTATGATTGACACAAATATAATGATGTATTAATTTTTATCAATAAAATGGGTATCTTTTGCTGTCATCTTACTCTAAAAATTTTAGTGAAATATCCTAGGAAGAACAACTTCAAATAAAGGGAAAAATGCATTGCCAATCATTACTAGGAAAATTGTTGATTGCTGATAAGCTATTTCTTAAATTCACATATATAAGAGAGAATAAAGGCTGTATCTTAAAGTATTTGATCAAATCAGTTTTATGAATTATTAAATCAGAATATTCTGCTTCTTCTGACTGTTGGTTAGAAGAAATCACGACAGGTGAGTCAATCGTATTCCACTTATTACCTATGGTGTTTGCAGATCCTCCTCAAATTCTGTACAGTTAAGGGCATCAATTGGGAAGAAAGATAAAGAAAAACAAAATAAGCTGTTGATCACTTTGAAAAAGGCAAATTTCCATGCAAAACGAGGCACCTTTGCTTTCACAAGGAAGGATTAAGTAAAATTTAAAACCCATTTTGCCCAACGCACTCTGCTTTCTCACATTCAAGCTCCTGTAAAGTTCAGTAGAAATGCAATCCTTAAGTTTTTTATTTATTTTCAACTAATTCAGCACAACAGTGTTTTGCAAGCACTTTCTGATGTCAGAGAAACATGTTGTTTTGTCTCTAAAAAGCCATTTTCTGTTGAAGCAGGAAGTCACTAATTGGCATAAAGAACAAAACACTCTACTTTTCAAAACGTGATTTAAACCTTCAAAATGAATTAGTTTAAAATTGTCTAAATATAATTGTTTTGCCTATCATTTTAATTAAAATATTTGAAAACGTTCTTATCTCAAACACCTGGTGTATTTTACAAAAGAAAGACTATTTGCAGGGATTGCAAGGATGGATAGAGAGAGTAAACAATCATTTTAAAATGTATTTTGAATGCAATGGGACAGAGGTTTTAGAATACTTAAGTCTTACCCATTTTGAGGCCTGGCTTTACTCAAAATATATTGTTTTAGCAGTGTGTGGGTGCTTTGAGTAGTGGTATTTATCTTACTGCTTTTCACTTCATATTCTCATTCTAACACATTTCATGTTAAAAGAACCATAGAATTATGGTTTCTCTAGTATATGCCTTTAACATGCTTTCATTATTAGCTGCTATGATGTCAGTTCATAAGTTGTCATCTACGAGCACTTCAGACATTCCCTCCACCAACTTAGAAGCTCCCAAATACACTCCATTCTTTCTGCCATCAAAAAGTATTTGATATTTGAAACCTATAGTATATAGAAGAAATTCTGGAAAACTTATCAATATTTGAAATAGGTCTCATCCTGCCTCTTTTTCATTGCTTTCTATCTCCTTCACTAAGCATAATTTGAAAGAGAGTATTTGTGTTTCTCTCGATTTTTCTGAAGTATAAACAAGTAGTGCCCATTTAATTTTGGTAAATTTCATACATTTTAAAAATTGCACCATCAATAATACAATATGTAAGAAATTGCATTCCATATTGTGACACTTGCATTACTAACTTGTATAAATTTTAGTAACTCCTTTATAGTGAAATCTCTCATTAACATTAAATTAGAACCTGGAAACAGCTGTACTTTATTGACAAAAAGTTAAAAGTCAGGGAAGCTCATATAAATGACGTACTTTCAAAAGTAGGGTTAAACATCATGCAATAGAATAAATAGGGATTCAGCTCAACTTTTTTCATCAACTGTATATTAGAGTTTAAATAAATTTTTCCAATTCACATATCTCATCAGTGATGGGAAGATAATTCAAACCAAATTTGTTCGACTCCAAATTCCATTTATGTTTTTTCTTATTCCACAAACATTTAAGTGAATCTAGGCTTGTGGGAGAATTCAAAGCCTCTTTTAGGAATTAGATGTGTACCAATAATTACAATACAGTGCAATAAGGGTAATTATTAACATACATACAGATACAGAAACATCATCAACAAAGTGGCTGATGCTGCCTGGGTAAATCAGAGAAGATCTCACAAAGAAACTATTGAAATGTATTTTGAAACATTATTAGGATTTTGTTGAGGAAATTAATAATTGAAAGAATTATTATCAAAATATTAAGGTATTTCAAAATCTGTGTACAAAAGCTTCACAGCCTGGATCATAGGGTGTATACCAAACTGGATCATAAGCTAGATCAAAGGCACATCTAAAGCCCAGCTAAGAGGTTGAAGAGGAAAGTGAAAGTTAGAGCAAGGGGAAGTTTACATTTATCTTATAGACCAGCTTCCTCCAATAGAAACATGACACCAGTTACATATGCAACGTTAAACTTTCTAGTAACCATATTCAAAAAGAAGAATAAAAGCTAGTAAAATTAATTTTATTATTTAATATACAGAATATACTACATTATATTTTAATATAATGTATAATATATATTTTATTTAACTAAATATCTATAAAATATTATATTTTCTGCAACGTTTTTATTGTGGTAAGGTACACATAACATACAATTTGCCGTCTTAATTATTTTTCAGAGTATAGTTCAGTGGTGTCTTAGTCTGTTTGTGCTGTTACAACAAAATACCAAGACTGGTAATTTATAAAGAACAGAAATTTATACCTTAAGGTTCTGGGGGACATCCAAGATCACTCAGTGTCTGGTGAGGACCTTCTTGTGTCCTCACATGGTGGAAGAAAGAAGAGCAAAAGGGCTTTGTGTAAAGCCTCTTTTATAAAAGTTGTAATCCCATTCAAGAAGGAGGTGGAGGCGCTGTCATGACCTAAGCACCTCCTCAAGGCTCCATCTCTTAATACTATTGCATTAGAGATTGTTTCAAGGTGAATTTTGGGGGACACATTCAGAACACAGCAAGTGGTATTAAATATAGTCACAATGTACAACCATCACCATCCATCTACGTAACTCATTTAATTTTGTAAAATTGAAATTTTATACCCTTAAACAACATTTCCCAATTCCCATTATCCCCTGGAAACCACCATTCTACTTTCTGTCTCTATTATTTCACTATTCCAAGTAGCTTATATAAGTGGAATCATCTGGTATATTTGTCATTTTGTGACTGGCTTGTTTCACGTAGTGTGATATCCTCAAGGTGCATTAATGTTGTAACATGTGTCAGAATTTCCTTTCTTTTTAAGGTTGAATAATATTCCATTGCATGTTTATACCACATTTTGCTTATCCATCCATCCTTCAATGGACACTTGAGTTTCTTCTACATTGTATCTATTGTGAATAATGCTGCTATAAATATGGGTATACAAATATTTCTTTGAGATCCTGTTTTCGATATGTAATAACTTTATCTCTTATAAACTTTTTTATTTAAAGTCTATTTTGTGTGATATTTGTATAGCTACCCTCCTCTCTTTTGGTTATAATTTGAATTAAATGTCTCTTTCCATCTTATCACTTTTAATCTATTTGTGTCTTCGGATCTAAAATGAGTTTTACAGATAGGATTAATTACATAATGAGTTTTTATCTGTTCAGCTAATTTCTGTCTTTTTGACTGGAGAGTTTAATCAATTTACATTTAAAGTAATTACTGATAAGGAGAGACTGGTGTCATTTTGTTATGTGTTTTGTATGCCTTATAGCTTTTATGTTCCTCATTTTTTGCATTACTGTCTTTTTTGTGTAGTTGATTTTTTGGAGTGAATCATTTAATTTCCTTTGGGATTTCCTTTTGTGTACGTTCTATAGCTATTTTCTTTGTGGTTATCATGGGCATTAAATGCATTATTATAATTTCCATTTTATAAATATAAAATTGATGCAAAAGGAGCTACACTGTTCATTATCTTTATTGAAATTTTTATTTTGAGAACACAAGCATAAATCAGGAAGAAATATTTAGGTTTTATATTTAAAAGAAAATTTGAGAATGAAATCTATTATAAATAATATTGAGAGAGATAAAAGTCACTTCTACAAATTTTCACTATATTCTTTGTAACTCTCTTATCAGAGTAAAATTTTTGTCATCACACATAATTTAAAAGAAAGGAACCACAAAACTTCAGAGGAAAGTGAAATAAATAGGTATTTTTTCCACTGAATTAAATGCTTTATCAAAGCAGGAACTATATCACTTTCATTCATAAAATAAATAATTTTAAATTGAAGCAAATACATTTAACAAATGAAGTAGCAATTAACTTGAACACCTACTCAGAACATAGTAGTACACTAAAACTCTTGGAGTACAAATAAATATAATAATCTTGGGCTGGGTGCAGTGGCTTATGCTTATAATCCCAGCACTTTGGGAGGCCAAGGCAGGAGGATTGCTTGAGCCCAGGAGTTCAAGACTAGCGTGGGCAACATAGGGAGACCCTCATCTCTACAAAAAGTAAAAAAATAAAATAAAAACAATATAAATAAAAATAAATAACTGGGCTTGGTGGTACATACCTGTAGCTCCAGCAGCTCAGGAGGGTGAGGCAGGAGGCTCGCTTGAGCCTGGGAAGTTGAGGCTGCGGTGAGCCAACATCGTGCCACTGCACTCCAGCCTGGCTGAGAGAGCGAGAGACCTTGTCTCAAAAAAGTATTTAAAAAATTAAAATAAAATAAAAAAGACACTGTCTTAAAACAATGAAGAAAGAATATCTCTGCACTCAAGGATTTCATAATATACTATGGCAGGATTATAGGAATTAATAACATGTAAAATAATAATGACTTAGCTATAAGAAAGATATCTTAAATGACAGAACAATAATGTACTCAATAGCAACTAAGAGAGATTGTGAACTCACTTTTTTCTATGTATTCTTAAAAATAAGGTAAATAAATATTCATCCCGATTAATTTCATGATTAAAAATGGAGAATTATGTGCTACTTATGGATGAGCAGACTATGTTATCATTTGACATGAAGTCCTATTAAAGGGATTAATCCATAATTCTCCATATTTTACCTCTGTTTACAATTTCAGACAAAGATACTTTGCTTGCTTTTTAAATTCATGTTACCAAACATCAAGCCATTAGATAATTAATGAAAACCTGCTGTCTGACAGGCTCTGAGCTAGGATCTGGAGTTGTGAAGGTGTACTTGGAGAGCTTGACAGTCAAATACAGAACCAAAATATAATGTGAAACACTCTATAATTAAGAAATCTGCAATGAGAGATTCATTCAGCAAATATTTATTGGCCTTCTACCATGAGCCAGTTATTATTCTAGAGATAAATCACTAGAGGTACATTACAAACAAACCAGCAAACATCCCTGCCCTATTGAATTCAATTTGCAGTGTCATTGCAATTTCAAGGAAAAGACAATTCATTCCTATTATTGCAAAATGTCAACACAAACAACAGAAAGTGGAACAATTAGGGTGGGACTTGAAAAATGAACTGGAATTTGCTGGGTCAGCAAGGAGGTGCTAGGCATTGCTGGTGAAAGTGGCAGCCTTCTTAAAGGCGTTGAAGTAGATGGAGGTGCCACAGTATCTGTTTATTCACAGCACCCCTTTTTTCTTAGATGGCAAGAAATTAAGAAAAGCTAAATCCTGTTAGACAGTAGAAAATCCCAGGACATCTCTAGTATGTATCTTGTTAATTTTTAACCATTTAAAGATGTTAGTTTTTCTGTTAATAATTGAAAAATTATAGACCTGATTATATTAAGTATGCTTTGAAAATGAGAAAGAATTACCTTTGGGCTTATTCATGAACTGTCAAGAATGTCAGCTGAAGCATGGTGGTTTACAGATATAAAGTTGCACTAAGCACTGCTTTTCTTGAAATCAAATTATCTACCTGAATGAACAGAAATCTGCAGGTTAAAGAAATGATTTTTTTCTTTGAATATATAAACTTATTAAGGAAAGAAGTTCAAATATAAAAACTTATTTAGGAAATGTATAATAAGGGTGATAAATACAGTACACTTTGGCATATAATTTTGCCTACAGATAAAGCCAAATATTTTAAACAAAAATATTTTTAAAATGAAACATATGATATATGTTGTAAATGTACAACCATTTCATGAATCACAACGTCGGAATACATTGTGATAAAAATTAATCTACTCATCTGCTGGCAGTGAAGGAATTAACAGATATTTCACTATGCCATACCAAACACGTTTTAGATTATCACAAAAAGGTACCAGAGAAAGGTCAGAAACTATTCAGAGACATTTATTTAATGCTTTAGAAAACTCAATGACTCAAATGCAAATATGTAAAATGTATCAACTCTTAATAAATATACTCGGTAGAAAAATATATTCTTAAAAGCTGATCTTTAATAAAGGTCTCTGGTACCTTTCAACCCTAGGTCATGGCACAGTATCCTGAAAAGATGCTGTTGTTTTGCTCTAACTGGTTTAAAAAGTGCTTTCACATTGAATAAATATAATAAAATGCATTTATATAAAAAATCTGATCGTGGTTTACTATATATTCCTCCAACTGATGACATTTTTCAGACATTTCAAAATTTACATGCTAAAGTATTTCTGTTTATTAATAATGTGTGATGTAAAGTAAAAACATCATAACCCATTTCAAGGTGTGTCATAATTAAAGGGCAGGGAGGAGGTAAGGGGACATCATTGCTTGCACTGTTTTATTTCTAAAATTCTTAAAGTAACTCTACATGCAGTTGCTACAAACAGAGAAAACCAAGAAAATAAACTATCCATATCATGTGAGCAATTTAAACACTATTAGTGAAGAGTTAAAAAAAAAACAAAGGGGAAATTAAGCATTTTATTTTATGATACAGAACCTTAAAAAGTTAAACATAGTTAAAAATTGTATTTGTAAATATTCAAAAGTTCATATAGTTACATTTCAGTTTTTCATTTTGATACCGAAATAGTGAAATATCAAGTTAAACCAGTTAATTTGACTGCTAATTTCTAAAATGAATATGTTGACCATTTTGACAAAACCATGTTTATTCAGTTATTTTGGTTACTAATCAGAATTCCATTTGAAGAAAGAATCTGCCTTCATAACATGCTGCTACCCTATGCAAACTTTTTGAGAAGATTTACATGCAAAATGGTAGAAATATTAGTTTAGCCTGAAATACTAAACATAGCGCTGTGATGTTGATCTGTATATTATTTCTCTACCAATCAGCACCATAATTTCACAAAGAAATGTTCAGCTTAATTTTAATTCAAATATAGCTTCCAAAATGCCCTAAAATACATTCTTAATTCTGACCTAAGGGGAATTTATTGAATTTTGTGAAGTGGAGGTCTTTGATTTCAGTATATGTTACATGGTGAGTCATAGTGCCTTTGTATTGAGTATATAGTGATCCTTTTTATCTTTTCATAAAATAGGCATTTCAAAAACTACTAACCTGCTATTCCATGTGCTGCACATGTTAGGCATTAACTAATGTGATTTTTCAAGCATCTCTTACATGTGACACATTCAGGACTGCATTCTTTTGAGGGTCTCGATTCTGAGAGCCACAATTATAGGTTAGAGCCCATTCTCCCTTTTTATTTGTGGTTCAGTCTTAATGTGGTCATGGTACATAGTCCCATGATTTACGATCAGATGGATTAACCACTGACTTATGCCTCACATAAGCATTATAAATTTATATGCATATCTTCCAGATGCAGAGAAAATGCAGAGAGATTTTCGTAAGGGATTATTCAGACCATCTTAAGTAGGGAGAAACCAATCCAAAGCAAAAACAGCTTTTGCATATGGCATCCATAGCTGCAAGGTTATTTTGCAGAAAGTGCTCAGATGAAGCAAAGATGTCCTTGATAAAGGCAAAAAATAAAAAAGCCAACAAACTATTTATAGCTGGGGCTATCTAATTTAGAGTAAACCTTTTGCCTCTAACCACATTTGCTGCAGAATTCTTCTGGCTAATTGCAGGCTACTCCTACTTTACATGGAGACATCTGCACTATGGCACACCCTATAATTATATGGGAAGGGATCACTCATGATTTTGTTGATAGCGTATTATAGCTAAATCCTTCGGGTGGGAACAGGAGAATTGCATTGTTTCAATCTAGGGGACAAAAGGTGAAACTTTTAAGTAAGTAAATTTTCCACAGAATAAACCATGCAAGTGTTTGGTGATGATGTTTTATACTTTTTCTTAATGGCTTAAAGAGACCCTTTGCATTCTGTGAAAGGCAGAGAGAGGGAGAGAAAGGTGTCTACACAGCCAGGATTAATCCCTCTAGCACATGTTGAAAATGAGTCATAATTGCCACCACCCTAGTGCAGGCCCTTATCACCCCTTGACTATTTGTTGCAAAGGCTTTTTGCTGCAGAAGCCTCAAATCCACATTCTTCAATATATTCTGAACACTAGTCATTGGTGCAAATTTACAAATTCTCTGTTTTCATGATGTTACACATCTTCTCAAAAACTTCAGTGACTCCCATCCCTTACAGGACAGAGACCAGGTTTCCTTACCTGGCTGTCCCGAACCTCCAAGGGTTTCCCCACTTTCTCTTCTAGCTGTATCCCTTCCTAAAATGTGACATCAATGTAGTTTGAAATTGCCTGTGACCTCCTCAAAACAATTTTTTGGGGGTTTGAAGTCCAGCCACATCACTTACCAGATACATCAGTGGAAATAAGTGGTTTCACAACTCTGAGGTTCAATATCTTTACCCATAAAGTGAATGTGATAATGTCCTTGTTTTTGGGTTGCGGTGAAATTTTAACATATTAATAATATATGTAAAACACTTATAACAGTGCCTGGAACATAAGTAAACACTAAAAATTGAATAGCTATTTTTAGTGTTCTTGTTGTTTATTGGAAGAAATACACTGAGAATCTTCCAGATGAGTTTTTCTTACAAAGGTGTATTGTCTGACAAGCAATGTTTTAATTATTTTTTGAATTTCTGTATTTTTTAGAATGATCTTACTAACAACATACTATTCATATTTGTTAACGTTCCCTACCCAGCCCTTGAAGGAACTTAATCAGATTCTCTGCTTAGGTGTGCATTAACATACCCATCTGCAATGGGTTGAATAATGTGCCCCCCAACCCCTGACACACACACACACACACACACATACACACCCCTCATGTCTATACTGAACCTCAGAATGTGACCTTATTTGAAAATAGGGTCTTTGCATATATAATTAGTTAAGAATCTTGAGATGAAATTATCCTGGATTTACAGTAGCCCTACATCAATTCACTTCTAAGAAGAGGAGAAGATGCAGAGAGACACAGAGAAGAATGCAACGTGAAGATGAAGGCAGAGACTGGAGGGATGCATCTATAAACCAAGGAACACCAAGAATTGCCAGCAACCAAGCTAGGATAAAAGCAGGGAACAGTTTTTTACTTAGATCCTCCAGAAGGAACCAATCATGCCCACATATTTTTTCAGACTACTGGCCTCAGGAACTGTGAGATGATAAATTTCTGTTGTTCTAAACCACACAGTTTGTGGTAATTTGTTATAGCAGGCTCAGGAAACGAATATGTGAGCATCATCCCATGCATCTTATAAAACTCAGTTCAGATCCAACATATATGGTGAACACTTCACTGATTAAATCACTCCAGCCTGATGCAACATCCCCTGTTCTGAACCTTCAGCAAAACATGCCAGCTGCCCCACTCATGTGGTTCTTACCTTCTTGTCTTATTTTCTTTGTACCTGCATATGTCTGTCTCCACAGCAAGAATATAAACTTTGTGAGAATGAAGACTTGACCCTACACAGTTTATACCCTTTACAATAACTTCAGTAGTGTAGGTTATTATAAATGCCAGTTGGTTTATCCAAACCACCTTAAACATTATGAATAATTAATTTAAATCACAACAACCTTTTACCAAGATATGTCTAATATTCAATTTGTATATTTAAAATAATAGCAACTTTTCAGTGATATGTAACATTGATACCAAGAAGCATATGTACCCAATATTCATTGCAAAAATTTATTTCTAAAAGAAATATACCTAATCTATTTACTCTGTGGTCATCATAGTGTAGGTATCTTTTAAACATGGTTTAGTTCTATAAATTGTGATTAGCTATGGTAATAATTTGCTTCTCACATTAATTCATTAGATGAAAGTGTTTATATAACTAAAAAATGTATCCCGAATTTGCCATCTAGTTAATATGATGGGTGTATTGGTGACTGTCTCATTGAGCTGTTAATAATTAGTGCTTTAACAACCATGGCCAAGGCCACGGGTTTGATCTCCTTTATGGCCTGGTTAGTTTCTCTCTGTTTTGCAGCTACAGACTGTCCCTTTTACCACAGCTGGCTGATTCACAAATTTGTGGCCACTCAGGGAAGTATCCTACCACTACCTGGTCAGTTGTATCTGCTTTGTGTTCAAAGGGCAGTGAGTTGAGAAGCTGCATTGCTGGAGAGTCAGTTGTAAAGGACTTCAAAGATTGAAGATAAGGCATCTGACACTTGAGACGTGGGGAGGTTAATCTTGGTGTAAAACTGAAGGCCCAGAGACATAACTGGACAAAAAAGAGAAAAGATAGAAAAGCACAATGAAACACACAGAGGGAAAAATTTGGAGAGACAAGGAACTAAACAAGTCTGGAATAAAACGAGAATATGAGAAGAGGTAATAAATACATAAAATGCAATATATAAAGAGATATAAGCTTGAGGAAGGATTTTAAAGAAAAAGAAGCTAAAAGCCAAAATGGTCACGTGAAACAGGACTACAATAGCGGACACGTAGTTTCAACAGTGGGAAATGAAGTGCATTTTAGAATATATGAATACAAACAGTATTCATATATTAGTATTCATATATTCTAAAATTCCAAAAAGTAAGTTTGTAAAAATGGTGAATAGTATGTGTCTGTGATCTATACTCAGGAGGATAGGTTGACCAATGAATCACAGCTAGAATTAACTGCCTCCCAATCTTCTTGAATTTTGATCAACTCTTATGTGCCATAGCTTCTCTGGCAGACACAGTCCCTGCCTCCCATGAGACTGCAGGTGTGGGTGCACACACTGACACTGTGAAACTACAGGGTGACAAGTGTTTTGATAGAGGTTTGTATGCCAAGGGCTAACATTACACATAAGAGAGTCCCCTCCCTTATCCTAGGATTGAATAAAGAAAATTTATCAGATGAGATGACACTTAAGATTAAGAAGGAGGCTCTAAAAAGTGCTAGAAGCACTAAACTGTATTATGAAAAGCTGCTTTCATTTATTTCATTTATTTACTTACTAAGTAATAATTGAACCACTTACCATCTCCAAGATACTACATAGGGCTTGAAAACCTTTTAAGCTTTATGAACTAATGTAGAACTTGCAGTCTAGTGCAGACAACCAAGGTGGTCAAATTAGCGTCAATAGAGTTACATTGGTTTCAAACTGATAAAAACTGTCACTTAGGAAACACAGAGCATTCATATTAAAAATGGAAAGTCTACAGAGGAAATACTTTAGTTGATCAATTTATGTAAATAGTTTTCATATTACTTTATCTCAAAGCTTGGCTAAAATATGGTTGAGATTTCTATATTACTTATTACAAGGCATGTTATATTTTACATTTGGATCTAATGACATCACTAATAGGATTTATAGGCACATTCATTGACATCTATGGACATTTCTGCAAGAGATTATTGAAATTTCACATGAAGTGTTATTTTTTCATTACAGCATTCTGTTAATCAACCTTCAAAAAATGTTAAGTCAGAAGAGAAAAAGCGCATTGCTTTAAAACTTGAAAATATTTTAGCTGAACACTTTGTAATAGAACAATTTGAAACTATTTTCACATATTAGGATATAATGTCCAGTAGACATATAAAATGCTTTTTCTGCCTATATGCACAAATGTTGATATGCACGTAAACATCTATATACTTAATGAAAACACACATATTTGCACAGAGAAAATAGTTTATATTATCAAAGTTTAGAATGTCATTAAATGTATAAGAAAAATTATCTCGAGCCTTTGGCACAGTAAATTTAGAAGCAATATTCTAGCACTCAACAACTACATTTTTGAAAGGAAAATTTTCACAAACAAAGAAAAAAGGAATTTTTTCTGGAGTTTAGAAGTGAATTCTTAAAACTATATTAGATTATTCAAAACATTTTTTGTAAAAATCAGGAGAGTTGTATATTAAACTATGGGGCAAAGTAATTCTTCATATGTATTTACAGAAAGGACATCCTTTTCTGTTGATCCTAATATAATTATTGAAAGCAGGTATCTTGTCCAAATAGTAAGGCTTCGGGGCTTGTGAATAAAAACAATGGCTCCTTGACTATATTTGTACCAAATGAGACAGAACATGAAGACTGATTCAATTCACACAGAATTCAGAAGTTTAAGAAACCAAAGTTCATTTAAACATAAATTTTGGGTGAGGAAATTATATATGTGACAAGCTGTAACAAGAATTATAAAACAAACAAAAATAACACCATCAAATCCTTGCCAAATGTGTAAATACAGATTGAAGGGCAAATCCTGATGCAGTAAAAACTTTGATATAATTTATTATCCAGAAAAGGAAAAAAACAAAAGACAGTATTTTGAAGGAATAATTGAAAAGTCCTTACATTATCGTGAAATTTGTTTCATCTATTTTCTGTATTTATTATTATTGGTAAATAAAGAATGTCTGAGTTTTTTCTTTTCTAGCTAATAAATTATGTTTTAAAGAGTTAACGTATATTATTCTACATCTTCCAACCTGCTATGATTGCTTATATGTTAGCTAATTCTCAAAAGTACTGGAAAGTTTTATTTAGTGCAATAATTTTTCTTCTTATGTCCTCCATCATTACTCTTTCCCAAAGCTCTAAGTAGAAGACTACTTCTTAAAATTTTGGCAAGTGTGTTTGAACAGGTTGAACTCTATTACACTTCATCACTTCCCTAAAACAAATGAGCTAATTATGTTCTTTCCTTCAAAATGTTTATTGAGACGTTCACACATGTTACTCAGAAACCCCACAAACTTGTTAAAAGCACGTGCCTGTTTTCATGCTCTGAAAATGTACTTGATGCTGGCATTTGTATCAAACACAGATGGACATGAGTATCATAATGTCATTAGTAAAGCCATTTAAAGGCATTTTTCCATGTTTATAGTGGGTTTTGAAGGCCGTTAGATAGTTTCAGTGAAAGGAGGATACTTGAGCCAGAGCACACATTCCATAGAAAAATATGCAAGAAATCAACTCCCTAGTGGGTTTTTGTGTTCGTATGATTCTTTTTTTCTAAGACTCCGTAATTTGGGAATAATTTTAATGTCTCTGACTAATTTGTACTCTGAGTATGTGATTCAAAATACTTCATTGGAGTATTTAGCAAAATTAGTTATTTTTACTTGCTTTCAGCTATTAATTTAAAATAAAGGTATAAAAATCTTTATGTCTTAAAAAAAAAAAGTTTGGCTGAGAAAAACTCCCGAGTGAATATTGGCACTAGAAAAATAAAAGCACAGTAAAGCCTGAGGTAACCTCTTATCTCCATAAGGACAAACAAAGGAAAAAAAGAATTAAGAAACAAAATTTGGTCCCCAGGTAAAGTCTGCATTGAAAATTCTGACCCAGATATCAGGGAAGTGCCTAAAGGGATATAAACCCCAAAACACATAGACACACAGCCATCACAAGAAATTGACCAATGCAGTCAGCTCCTATATTCACCAAAGGCATTTATCAAGTATGAATAAGAACAAATAAACCAAACCTGTCAAACATTTGGTGAAAACCGATACCCAAAGAAAAGTCCCAAACTCAACAAACAGAGCTGGAAGAACAAACTAATCCCTAAAATGTAGCACAAAAAAGACATGGAGATGGAAAATATGAAAGAAAAGCCAGAATATAAAAGATGAATTTACAAGTACTACTGTTTGTCCAATAGGAGTTCTAGATGACAGGACTGAGAAAAATTCAATGAAAGAAATAAAGAAAAAAAAGAAGAAAATAAATTTCCAAATTAAAAGCTGAGATATGTATATATATATTCAGCTTATATATGCATGTGTGTGTGTGTATGTGCAATGAAGTGTGAAACAATTTTCAGAGTAAAGTCTCAGAAAGTTACTAAGTCCCTTTCTATTATAATTACTTACATTTACTGTAATAAAAAATTGTATACCATCAATATGAAATAAATTTAAGACAGAATATGACATTGAACACAGTAAACAGTGTTGAAAGTAGGAAGTACTTGTGCTTATAATAAAGCGGCACAGAATAATGAGGTATTAGTTTAAAAGTTAATAAAATGACAGGAAATATAAGGTAGTAAACATATTACCAATCACAAAAAATATGAATTAATTAAATGTATCAGTAAAATACATACTGTATTCATCAATTTGTTATAAGCATATTGTGGAGCCCTGAAATAATCTCCAAATCAAACATAAAAATGAATTAAGGCAAGCAGCAGAATGATATATAAATTATGATCACAATTATGTTTAAATGATATGTATATGTACGTATGTATAAAATTGAATGCGTAAGTAAAGGGCTAGAAATAGATACCCCACATTTTTAATGATGTTTCTCTCTAGGATAGGAATTGAACTAGGGTTGTTATAGAAAACTGTAAAATAAATAATTTTTTGAAATAAAATATTTTTACAATACTTGTAATATTAAAAACAAGACAGGCTTTGCTACTTTCCAAAGATTTATGATTCCATTGATAAAAATATTTTGAACCTAGAAAAAGAAAACTATTACATATGTATTCTATAAAACTACTATTTGAGAAACAATTTCTACAAAGAAATTGAAAAGTCAATAAATTCATAAAGTACATCAAAATATGAGAATAAGATTTAAAAAACAGATACCCTCTTTGGAATAAAAATTCATATAAAATATGTGCAAATATTTCACAAAACCAACTTACTCTGGCAGATAATTTGTAAATGGTTATGGATGAGATTCTTCCAAATCTAGAGCCAATATGTGAACTGTAGCAAAGATAAAATAAAATGTAAAATCTATGTTAAGTCTGGAAAACTTTGAGAAAAAAGGATTTATTAGTGTTTCTTCAGCAGTAAAGGAAAATAAATCCCTTTAATATAGAAAATGATATAGTGATACTCCCTCAATTTGAAAATGACTTTTCTCCTGATGTCAAACAAACCAAGAAACCTTCTGGATGTCAATTTTGATTCCAATTTAGCAGAGAATGTAGTGGTCAGTGAAAACACATTTTAGTCCTCATGCCAGCTATATTTCTCAGTGAAAATAAATGTATTGGAGTTTGGTTCGCATATCACTATTTTATAAATTGTGTTATTGTGAGTGTATCCCATTTTCTCAGCATTAAGGGAAAAATTGATAAATTCAAGAAGAGGTTCAGACTCTGGACCCTTGATGACCCATTCACATAAAGCATGTAGTTCTCAACTGGAAACCATCAGTATAGTGCAGGGGTGTCCAATGTTTTAGCTTCCCTGGGCCACACTGGAAGAAGAATTGTCTTGGGCCACACATAAAATACGCTGCCACTAACGATAGCAGATGAGCTTTAAAAAAAATGCAAGAAAACCTCATGAGGTTTCAAGAAAGTTTATGAATTTGTGTTGGGCTGCATTCAAAGCTGTCGGGAGCCACATGCAGCCCATGGGCCACAGGTTGGACAAGCTTGGTATAGTGCATGCTATTGTAGTTCCCAGGATTTCCCTTCAGGTCAGAGCCACTCTCTGCTACAAGAAGTTGAATACCTTCCAAGAATTACTTTCTGCCAAAATAAGCTGCTTTGTCCCAGGTTAGGCAGTGTCCCTGGAGGCAACCTATATGCAGTGACGGTGAGGTTGGGAGAAAGCATTAAAAAGGCCTATCCCCTTTGCCTCAATTAGGACATCTCTGAAGGCCATCCCAACTCCACAGGCCCCTAGAGGATTAGTTGAGCCATTTATTGCAACTGCATTATAGGTCAGCTTCTCCCTCTGCCTCTATATATTAAGAATATATTACATAGTATATTATTAATATGAAAACCGATAAATAAATACTATATTTGCTATTAAAAGTTTGTATTTTATGTTGTATTAATATTAACATATGAATAAATTAAAATTAATAGATTTTACAAGATCAATATGAATACATTAAAGTTACATTACAAATGTAAGTACCCTAATGTGGTCTTCTAGGCCCCAAAATACACATTAGATTCCCTTGGTCCCTTATGTCATCATGCAATCTTTCTTCACAGATGCTAACTAGATATTCATTTATGTGGATACATATTTAATAAAATAAAAATTTGTTTAATTCCATTAGACTGGAAGCTTCATGAGAGCAGGTACCATCATCAATGATTCACATTTAGGACAAATTTAGCACATAGCATGCAATTATAATTATTTCTTGTTCAAAAGCATTTTTGTATGTAAGTACAAACAACTTTTTTTTTTCCAAATTTCTCTTTACCTTTTAGTTGTATCTATGTTTCTTTTTAACTTTCTCCTTGTGGCATTATTTTCTTCTAATGCTCTTATAGTTTTCTTTTTTTTTTTCTTCAACTTTTATTTTAAGTTCAGAGGTACATGTGCAGGATGTACAAGTTTGTTACATAGGTAAACTTGTGCCGTGGTGGTTTGCTGCACAGATCATCCCAATGCCTAGGTATTAAGCCCAGTATCCACTAGCTATTTTTCCTGCTGCTCTCTCTTCCCCAACCCCCTGCCTCCGATAAGCCCCAGTGTGAGTGTGGTAATTCCTCCCCATGTGTCCATGTGTTCTTATCATTCAGCTCCCACTTATACCTGAGACCATGCGGCATTTGGTTTTCTGTTCCTGCCTTAGTTTGCTGAGGATAAGGGCTTCCAACTCCATCCATGTCCCTGCAAAGGACATGATCTCATTCCATTTTATGACTGCATAGTATTCCGTGGTGTATAGATTCCACAGGTTTTTATCCAGTCTATAGCTGATGGACGTTTAGGTTGATTCATATTTTAGCCATCTTTATTTCAATTTTAGAAAGTAATTATTTTGTTTAAATTTTGTTTTGTTTGGTTCCAAATAGTTTGCCATCTTTTTTCCAAGAGCTTTTATTAAATAAACTGTCCTTTCGCCCTTTCTTTGAAATACTACCTCTTTGTATAATAGATTATTTTATATGTACTTGGGTCTCTTATATTGTATTTGGCTCTGCTGCTCTATATGACAATGCCTTTGCTATTACTTGAATAGTGAAGTTATTGAAGTTTTACAATCTTCTTTATATTAGCCACTCATTCACTCTTGTTAATGCATCATTAGATAGTATTACATTCTTTCAAGGACATACAAAAAGTCATCAAACCCCCTTCACCTCTCTAACCAAAAGAAATTTGAATGTATAATAATTTTATGAAATTGAAAAAAAGTAGATCAAAGAGAGCTACCAAAACAGATTTGGAATTTATAACAGTTTGCATAAAACACTAAAAATAGTGAGTTGTCATATGAAAATGTCATCTAGGGCCATGCAAATGTACTATTTATCTCAAAATAATTTTAGAGTCTACTAAACAGAATACTTAAGCATGAATAGAATCAGAAACACCTAACTTACTGAAGCACATTGAAGGGAGATAAGCTGAGAGTATCTTGGAAAAGAAAATAACTTCTCAGTGTTATAAGCAGGGTTTGAATAGTGTATGCATGTAACTCAGAATGAGATGGATGATCACTTAAAAGGATTGATGGACATATGCAATGTAACGAGAACTGGAGAGATGTGATTTTCTTTGATTTAAGTAAATTAGGAAGTCATTGTATATTAAATAGATTTAATGTGAAGCAAGAGAACGCTGGAAGTGATAACATTTAAGTGATGAATCCTCAGAAGAAGCTATGTAGGATTTATGACAGCTTCAAGCAGAGACAATATACTCTGTCAGAGCAACAACAAATTTAGAGAGTAGAAAGAGTGATATCTGGGGGCTTCAAGAGAGTGACAGGAGAGTTGTAGAATATTTGTATAAAAGTATTTGCAACTAAAGGCCAAGCATAGTTTGGTGAATGCAGATGACCTAGGGCTTCTGGTTAGGAGTCTTAAGAATGTTGACTGAAAGAGGAATTAAATCAACTGGTAGGTTTTGGAAACTGTTGAGCGAATGGAATCAGATAAAAGTGATACTAATGAGCTAGCCATATCCACAAGACATAAGTAAGTTTTCAAGTCAAATAAGCCAGGTAAGTGGTCAAAATTAACTTGATTTCTAGACAAGTAAAAGGAGGGGAAATGCTAACTGATGTGGAGGAATAAATTGCATAACTCATGAAAAGAGTAAGTAGGGAAGCAATAGATTTATTCACTTAGGCTAAAATAACGATCTCTATGTAAACTGATTTTAATAATTTTTTTCTAGTTTCCTAAACTGAAAAGATCAATGGGGGAACAGCCCAATTCATAAAATCCAAAAAAGCTTTTTGCTTCAGTAAGTACTATGAGATCCTTAATATAAGACTGAAAAAACAGTCTTATATTAAGCTTAGAGCCTTATATTAAGTTTAGACTCTAAAAAGGGCTCCATTCTTGCAACTAGTCAAAGCCTCAGGAGCAATTTTCATAAGATTAGTTCTAAATGCCCAGCCAAAGTTCTTGAGAACCAGCTACATATTCTTGGAAAACTAAGACCTTTTTCCCCTTCTTATGTTGTTGTTGTTGTTGTTTTTGTTTTTAATCTCCAGAGAGTCTGAAAAGTGATAAGAGAACAGCAGCCAAAATAAATAGTAAGAAAGCTTGAAACAAATATTGCTTTCCTTCACTTCTGAACACACTTTTAATACTATGTAGATTTGTATATTGATATACATTTAAGAAATATAGACAGGTATGTAAGTATTTCAACATCCTATAGTGCTATAATTTTTCATGATGATATTATGATTAGTCACATATCTCCTTCTAATTAGATCAAAGGCCAGGTCTTTATGCATTCATTAATTCATTTAATAAATATTTATTGAATTTCTACTATATGAAGCCTATTCCAGGCACAAGGATACAAGAGAGAAAATGAAATAACAAAAACTCTTTCCTTAGGAAATTTAAGAGATGAGACAAAAGCTAGAGATTACTGAAAACAGAATCAGATCAGGAGTAAAGGAGAGATGGATGTAATAGAGAAATATGCAACTACAATTTGTAGAGCTGGCAAGTGGGGAGAATGCTCAGTGTGTTTAAGGAACAGCAAGAAGGCCAGTGTTGCTGGAGCGTAGTGGGGCAGGGGAGGGGTAGGACCCAAGGGTGGGGAGGGACGGAGGAGCCAGATGGGTCATTAAGGCCTCAGAGGGGATTGTAGTAGTTTTAAGCAGAAGAGCCATGTGGTCTGACTCGTGTTTTAAAAGGATGCCTATGGTTGCTGTGGGTCAGTGTGGTGGGTGGGCAGACAGGGGCTAAAGGGACAGAATCATTCTCTTTGCGTCCGCATTTCCTCGCCTGCCATATTGCCCAGCACACATTAGTGTTGCAATTAATGCTTATTGAGTGAGTGAATAAATGAATGAATAGCGTTATATGGCTGATGATAGGCTTTAAGAATATAATACATAGAAACTTCTTAAATAATATAAGCTGTGATTTTGGATAACACAGATCATTACTGAGAAATTGTGTAAGTACTGAGCACCAGTTAAAGGATTCCCAGACCAATAATCCTGAACCACTGTTAACTTTACCAGATCCTTTTAAGTGTAGTGAACTGGGTCCAGAATATTATTAGAGTAGTTATCAGGAAAAGTGTCAAAGATGATCACAGACCTGATTGATCATAAAACAATTGCACTAAGTGACTTGAATAAAGTAGTGATCCCTTCAGTAGAAATTGTTATTGACTACTGTAATTAAGATATTAAACTTCATACGCACTTTACCATGAGTAATCCGACTAAATAAACCACCATCCTTCCTGTGCATTATAATTTAGAAATTCATCACAGAACAATCTTGATAAGAAAGCTTCATTCTTGTTCTTGAGTCACTGAAAACGTTAAGTTGAAGAGAAAAAGGTTTTAAATTTTAAAAGTGTTTATTTCTTCTTATTCAACTATAGGTTTGAAAAACAAGGATTTTTAACTCCTTTAATAGTAACCCCCACCTCCCTCATTTTTGGAAAACGAATTATACAAACAAGCTTCTAAAGAAAAGAAATGCTTCAGAACTGAGCAGAAGATGTGTTCTCCTGGTAAAAGAGAAAATGAAAAGCGGCACACCTGCTTCCAGCTGGGCCCCCCTTTGCAAATCTCACACAGCCTCTCCATGTGAAGTCTTGTCCAAGTCAAACAAGTAGCAATTTTAAAGTAGCACCTAAAGAGGAACTTGGGCAGGATTTGCCAGCAAAACCCCAGACCCTAAAAGTTCCTGCTGTACAGGCTTTATTTTCATTTCCTTGACCCATTTGCAGAGACTTGTTACTGATGGCCGGCTGGGCCTCCCTGTACACAGCACACGAATAATAAACAGAGGCCAGCTGACACCCAGAGACACCTGCAGAGTACTCACAGTGCAGGATTGTTCATCCAAGGGGAAACATTTTGATGGGGAGGTGGATGCATAGCCATCCCCTGGCTCAGTACACAACACACACACACACACACACACTCACAGACACGCCTGAAAGAAGTCTACCATGGACTCTCCTGAGGGCCTGCTGACCTGCCAAGAGAGCTAATAAAAAAGAACCGCTGACGATGGTAGCAATGTGTGAAAAGGCCTCTGTAGGTAGTCATCCCCTTGTATCCCAAGCACTTGGACTTGGTGAAATTAATTTTTCAGAAGTTTGGTAGAAACTTCATGCAAGCCTTTGCACAAATACTTTAATGCACTGAGCTTATTATTCCAGTTTTTCGGGATCCAACTTCTTATTTATTCATAAATTACATATTTGCCAATGAAAATACTTTGTTGAAGGTCTGATCAAGCAGGTGCATTCAAGTAGCCTGAAAAGCCTTCACTAACATTTGAAAACTTTTCAGAACTGGATTTCTTGGAATTGACAAGAAAAGCCTTTTTTTAAATTCCATGAATTCACGTTTGAAATATTTTTATAAATAATTCAGAAAATATGATTTAAGTTAGTGATAGATCAAGGGTAATATATACAATAACATTCACCATATGATGAGAGTAGTTTGTTTCAAATCTATTTAAATATAATAATTAACATCTTTAAGGAGCCTGCTCAGTATTTAAAATATTCAGTACATTCAATGTTTTTCACTAATGTTTATTCATCATAGGAGAAATAAAGAAAAGCTGATTTTATAACTGTGCAGCTTCAAAGACCTAAGATTCAGTTCACTTATCATAATATTTTTGAACTGGATAAGATCTATGAGAGCATAAGCACAGAAAAATTATTGAACCCAAAGTTGTAACATGATGTAACCAAGGACCCCGTAAGAGGAAGAGAGTTACCATAAAAACTGGATTCCCATATTCTAATACAATGTGCTTATTCTAGGAAATTGTGCAGCCTGATTTATCAATGATACAGTAATCTTCTGTAAGAAAAATGAGGAATTGGCCCACACTGCACACTATCTCTAAAATTATGGTTGAGTGATTCTAGCATATTGAAATATTTTGTTTTTGTCTCTTTTTTTTTCTTGTTACCAAAGTGCATCTTTCTGATGTTTTTTAAAACCACTTACGTGAAGTTTTAGGAATAGTCCAAACCATTCTTGGACAAGGGAGAACACACCAGCTGCATTTTAAGCAGCAATGCAGCTGTATAAAGTATGTGAGCATGACCTGAAGCTGGAAAAAAGCCAGTTTGTCTTAAAGAATTCCACCTGGACCTACTTAGCACCTCCTATCTTGCCCTAACCTAAACACATGCCCTTGGTCTCCTCAGGGACAGGAATGGAACCTGGGAGAGAAAGAGGCTTAGGACTCAGTTTGTGTTGGCAAGATTGTTCCAGGGCTTTTCTATTTCCTGTCTCACCCTAGTTTAGGCCTTCACCTGCCTCCCTCTTTGCTCCAACAGACAACTAAAACTCAGGGCCAGTAATTACATTATATATTGATAAATCAGAAAGTACAGCATTTCCCCCATTTTTAAAATTGTTTTTATGAAAAAATCCAAGGAGACCCAGAGACCTCCTTTTATTGCATGTAAACAGGACAGTAAATAACTGGGCTGCAATTCTTATGTAGGTACATTGGCTCAGCTAATTAAGGAAAAATTTTCATTTTCATATTCATCTGTATACTTGCCCTTAAATAAAGACACTACTGTCTTTCATCCAGTAGCTGAAATGATACTAAAGTTATTAAAATTCTTTAAGGAGCATCTTCAGGAACCTCATTATGTTTTCATACATTAATTCAACAAATGCTAATTACAATAGCTTATGCTGACTGAATATCTACCTTATGCCTGGTACTACGTTAAGTACTCTGCATAGATATCATGTAACTGTTATAGCAATGCATGAAGTAAGTACTATCCTTATCCCCCTTTTCTAGATAAGGGTACTAAGGTTCAGGGAGGTTAAGTTACCAGCACAAGTTTACCTAGCACTAATTTATAGAATTAGTATTTGAGTAGAGCCTTTTGTAAAAATGTTAATGATAGATTCTATGAACCTGCTGTGTAAGGGTTTGCTATAATTTTTTTAATGTTTCAAATTTATAAATTTTTATAATAAAATGTCAGAAGGCAAACCACTTTTATTTTCATTCCCATAAAACTTTTATTGATACAATGTGTTGTGCCTCATTTGATATTTATTTGGAATGACATTATAAGCATCAATGCAAAATATAGGTACTAAGAAGATTCTAATAGGTTGATGGAGTAGGAAGCACCAGGAATCTGTCTTCCCACCTAGACAACAATCACATTGGCAGATTGGTTTTGTATGAATACTTTGGAACTTTTAAGTCTATTGAAGGCTTTAAGCTTTCAGGAGATGTCTTGCCAATAAATTGTAGTTAATTGTAGTAAATTTTAGTTTTTTGCTCAGCAGTGGCTACCCATCCTCTACCTCCAACCAAATTGCAGGTAGCTGTGCATGTTTATGGCGCAGTTTATACACGGTTTCAGCAGCTAGAGTGGGCAAAAAGAACCTTGTTCTTCAGGTATTGGGAATTTGTGCTCTGATCACAGAAGTACAGACACATAGGTAGGCAGCTATTGTTGCACACACCCTCCTTCTGCATGATTGTAAGCTCCTCCCCCTCTGACTAAAATAACTAAGGGATCTAAAGGGCCAGTGCCTCGTACTCTCCCTTCATTTTTATTTTTCCCCTTTTTAGAGCCAGACATTAGAGACCAGGATATTTAAAAGACCAGGATATGTATGAGAGAAATTAGAAAGTCACTGCACATGGTCAGGGAAATGTGTAGAATCAGAAAAGATGTGAGAGGACCTTAAGTTTACATGTCAGGCATGACATGAAGATGAAGACATGTTAAAGCCAATAAAAAATGAAACATAATGAAGACAAAAAACAAACAAAAACAAAACCCCTGGGAAAGAGAGAAAGTTTTATCTCTAGTTTCAACACATCATTAGTTTCAAATATCCAGTTTTTAACAAAAGATTCACAGGGCATACAAAGAAACAAAGTATAGCCCATTCAAAGGAACAAAAAATTTCTCCAGAAAGAGTGACCAGATGTCAGACCTACTAGACAAAGACTTTCCTAAAAGTCTTTGCTATCTTAAAGATACTCAGAGAACTAAATAAAGACATGGATAATGTCAAGAAAAGAATGTATATAAAAATGTATATATCAACAAAGAGATATAAACCTAAAAAGAAACCAACAAGATGTTCTGCAGCTAAAAAATACAATAACTGAAATAAAACATTTACTAGAGAGCCTAAAAGGCAAATTTCAACAAGCAGAAGAGTGAATCACTGAACTTGAAGATAAGACACTGGAAATTATTATGTCCGAGGAAAAGAAAAAAAATGATTGAAAAAAGGTAAACAATGCCTAAGAGACTGGTGGGATATCTTCAAGCAAACCAACAAATGCAATATGAAAGGATCAGAAGGACACTAGAAAGAAAAACAGATTATTTGAAAAAACAGTAGCCAAAAGCATCTCAAGTTTGATGAAAGACATGCATATAAACATATGAGTAACTTAAGAAATATGGTTCTTCCTGAGACACATTGTAATCAAACTGTTGCCAGCCAAAGACAATTATAAAATTCTTAAAACAACAAGAGAGAAGCAACAATTCACATACAAGAGATTTTCAGCAAAAGTATCAACATATTTTCCATCAGAAACTTTTGAGGTCAGAAGGCAGTGAACTAATTTTAAAGGTGCTCAAATAAAAAAAAAGTCAACCAAGAATCCTATATCCAGCAAAATAGTCTTCAAAAGTACAGAAGAAATTAGGACATTCCCAGATAAGCAAAAGCAGAGGGAGCTTATTACTACTAGACCTGTTGTGCAAGAAATTATTAAGGGAGTCCTGGAGAGTAAAATGAAAGGACAATAGATAGTAACTTGAAGCCATATGAAGAAATAAATATCTCAGGACAGGTAAACATATGAACATTTATAAAGGCTAGTATTGTTATAAAAATGGTTTGTAACTCCACTTTTTGTCTACATTAAAGACACCAATAAATTGTTTTAAAAATAATTATTAGTCCAAAAACTAGTATTATTGTAACTTTGGTGGTAATTTTACATTTTGTTTTCTACTTAATATAAGAGAAAAATGCATTAAGCAAACAATTATTAGTTTATATTTTTGAGCAGACATGTATAAAGGTGTAATGTTGTGATAACGATAATGAAAGGAGTGAGGATGAAACTGTATAAAAGCAGTTTTTGCATATCATTGAAGTTCAGCTGATATAAATTCAAATTAGAGCATAATAACTTTAATATATCAAATGTAATCAATCCCCATCATAAGCACAAACCAAGTAGTTATGTAATATACACAAGAGAACATGAAATGATAGTTAAAATATTTCACTAGAAAAAAAACAGAAGACAGTAATGCACAAAATGAGGGACAAAAAATCTTAAAAGGCTTATAGACAACAATTATCAAAAGGACAGAAGTTTCTTCTTATCAGTAATTATTTTAAATGTAAATAGACTAAACATTCCAATCAAGAGATTAAAACAATCAAAAAAGAGAATAAAACAATCAAAAAAGGTTATGAGGAACAGGAAGAACATTATTTATTAATAAAAGGTTTAATATAGCAAGAATATATAATAGTTATAAATATTTACATACCTAATAATAGAACATCAAAAATGTATGAAGCAAAAATTGACAGGATTGAAGGCAGATATAGACAGTTCCACAGTAATAGTTCAATGCCCCACACTCAGTAATGAATAGGACATCCAGAAAGAAGATAAGTAAGATAATAGAGCACTTGACACAATAAAATAGCTAAATCTAATAGACATATGCAAGAACATTACAGCCACTACCAACATAATACACAATTTTCCTAAGTGCATGTGGGACATTGTCCATGATAGTTTATATATTAGTCCACAAATTAAATCTCAGTAGATTTTAAAAGGTAGATATCATACAAAATATTTTCTCTAACAATCCTTGGATGAAGTTAGACATGAATAATTGAAGGAAGACTGGAAAATATCCTGCAACTCTGTGGAAATGAAACAACACATTCTTAAACCACCAATGGATCAAAAAATAAATAACAAGGGAAATCAGAAAATACTTGGAGACAAATGAAAATGAAAACAGCATACCAAAATTTATGTGATACAGTGACAAATGCTTACATTAAAACAGAGATCTCAAATTAACAACCCAACATTATAAGTTGTTGAATTAGAAAAAGAAAACAAACCAAAGGAGAGTTCATATAAATCTATCTGAAACTTAAAAATATATATTTAATAGGAAGGAACTTCTTTAAATGCCCTCACTTTAGGAGTCTATTATTAATCAGATACCAAAGTCAAATACACTGCAAGAAAACTGTAGACCACTATCCCTTATAAACATTGATACAAATATCCTTAACAAAATGCTAGAAAACTGATTTTAACAGCACATTACAATGATTATACATCATGACCAAGTGGGATTTATTCTTTGAATAAAAGGATGGCTTAAGCATGATCAACACAAAAATTGATCAATGTAGTACATCACATTAACAGAATGAAGAAAAAAATCATATGGCCATCTCAATTGATGAAGAAAAAGCATTCAACAAAACTTGACTCTCTTTCATGATAAAAACACTCAGCAAACTAGGAATAAAAGTAAACCACCAACAACTAAAAACCATATATAAAAAACCCACAGCAAATATCATGAAAGACTGAAAGTTTTTTCTCTAAGATCAGGAATAAATTATAGATGCTGACATTCACCACTTCTATTTAACATACTACTAGAAGTCCTGGTCAAAGCAATTAAACAAAACAAATAAATAAAAAGCATCCAACTTGGAAAGGAGGAATAAAATTATCTCTGCTTATAGGTGATATGATGTTATATGTAGAAAACCCTACAGGTTCCACTAATATGTCTTAAAACTAATAAATAAATTCAGCAAACTAGCAAGATACAAAGTCAACAGAAAAATATCCGTTGCATTTCTGTACATGAACACTGAGCAATCTGCAAAGGAAATTAAGACAATAGTTTTGTTTATAATAATATGAAATAGAATAAAATACTTAGGAATTAACCACAGTGGTTAACAACCTATACAGTGAAAACTACAAAGCATTTCTGAAAGAAATTAAAGAATATATAAACAAATAAGAAGGCATCCCATGTTCATGGAGCGAAAGACAGTATTGATAAAATGTTCGTATTATGGAAGACAATGTACAGATTCAATGCAATCCTTATCATAATTGCAATGACATTTTTTTTTGCAAAAATAGAAAAGTCCTTTCTGAAATTCATATGGAATCTCAAGGGACCTGGAAGAGCCAAAACAATTTTGAAAAAATAAGAACAAATTTGGAGGACTTTGTGATTTCAAAACTTACTAAAAAGCTATGGAAATCAAAATAGTGTGATACTGGCACAGAAGCAGACATATAGATCAATGGAATAGAAAAGTCGAAAAATAAACCTTCGCCTATGTGGTCAAATGATTTTTCACAAGAGTACCAAAACCAAAGATACAGTTTGGATATTCCTCCCCACCTAAATCTTGCATTGAATTGTAATCCCCAATGCTGGAGGCAGGGCTTGGTAGGAGGTGTTTGGATCATGAAACTGGTTCCCTCATGGCTTATTGCTGTCTTCATGATAGTGAGTTCTCATGACATCTGGTCATTTAAAAGTGTGTAGCCCCTCCCCCTACCCTGATTCTCTCTCATTTGCTCCTGCCTGCTCCCCCTTCACCTTCAACCATGATTGTAAGCTTCCTGAAGCCTCCCTAGAAATTGAGCAGATGGCAGCACCTGTTCCTCCAAAACCTGAAAAACCATGAGCCAATTAAACATCTTTTCTTTATAAATTACCCAGTCTCAGATATTTCTTTATAGCACTGCAAGAATGGCCTAACACAACCATTCAATGGGGAATAAATAATGTTTTTAGTGAATGGTGTTGGGAAAACTCAGTATCTGCATGCAAAAAATGAAGTTGGACTCTTAACTAACATCACATAAAAAAATTAACAAAATTGATCAAAGACCTAAATGTAAGAGCTAAAATTATAAAATTCCTGGAAGAAAACATGGGGCCAAATCTTCATAACACTATATTTGCAATGGAGAAAATATGACACCAAAGGCACAGGTAAAAAAAGAAAAAATGGACAAATTGGGCCACGAACATTAAAAACTTTTGTACATTAAAGGACACTATCAAGAGTAAAGAGGCAACCTACAGAATAGGAGAAAATAATTGCAAATCATATATCTGATAAGGAATTAATATTCAGAATATATAGTGAATTTCTAAAACTCAACAACAAAAAAACAAATAACCCAATTCAAAAGTATAAAAGGACTTGATTAGAAATTTCTCCAAAGAAGATACAGGAATGGATAATGAACACATGAAAAGACTCTCAATATCACTAATCATTAGAGAAATGCAAATAAAAACCACAATGAGATGATAATTTTCACCCATTAGGATGGATACTATCAAGCAAAACAGAAAATAAATATTGGTGAGGATGTGGAGAAATTGGAACTCTTGTGCATTGTTAGTGCAAATGTTAACTAGTATAGAGGTTGTAGAAACCAGTATGGCATTTCCTCAAAAATATTGAAAATAGAATTACCATATGATCCAGCAATTTGATTTCTAAGTATGTAAGTAATATAATTGAAGTCAACATATTGAAGGGATATTATATACCCATGTTCATAGCAGCATTAATCGTAATAGCTACAACATGAAAACAATCCAAGTGTTCATTCATTGGCAAATAAGTGGATAAACAAAATACGGTATATACATACAATGGAATATTATTTAGCATTAACAAGCAAATCCTGACAAATGCTACAACATAGATGATCTTTACGGACATTATGCTAAGTGAAATAAGCTAGTGACAAAAAGACAAATATACTGTATGATTCCGCTTATATGAGGTAGCTTAAGTAGTAAAACTCAGACAGAAAGTAGAGTGGTGGCTACCAGAGGCTAGGGGAAGGCAGGGAATGGGAGCTTATTGCTTAAAGGGTATAGAATTGCAGTTTTGTAAGATGAAAATAACTGTAGAGATAGATGGTGGTAATGATTGTACAACATGAATGTGTCCAATACCCATGCACTTAAAAATGGTTACAATGGTAAATTTTAGGTTACATGTATTTTACAGTGAAAACAAAATGCAGGCACTAAAATGCAAAGTCATCTAGCTATTCCAGAGTGTGTTTTTCTTTTCATAGATTGTCACAAAACTAAGAAAAGTTATAGAATGCCCAGTTGTCAAATAACGAATGTGAAAATCATCCAGATCCCCATACCTCAGTATGAAATGCACTAAAATGGATAAATAATTAAATTACAATAAAATATGATATGTATTATGATAGGGAACAGGTCCCTTTACAAGTCCATAGAAAAATATTTAAGGCTATTCAAGGGGAAGAATAATCTTCCAGAGGAAGTACAGAATGAGTATATTTTAGTTATACTCTCTGAGGAGAGGTAGGTTTAGGCAGAAGGAAATCATATACATAAACCTGGTCCAAGATAGAGTCTGGCATATTCTAAGAATGAATGGCTGGAGCTTAAAGTATGCAACAGAAGTGTAGAAAGAGACAAGATTCTAGGCTTCGGCAGGGACCAAAATGAGGATGATCTTGTAAGCCATGTTAGGAAGGCCAAACTATCTCAAGGGCAGGAGTTGGACATTAAAGAAGTTGAGCAGGACTCAACTTGGAATGTTAGATCACTCTGGCAGCAGGCAGAACAAGTGAGCCAGCAAATGAGTAACTTGACTAATTGTGTTAATCCAGGTAGGCAAGAGTTGATATTGGCTAGGTCAGTGGCAACAAGAATGGATACAAATGGACAAAACTCAAGATAATTAACAAGTGGCAGGGTCAAAAAATGATGACTACCTGTGAGAAGAGCAAGGAATTAAGAATGATAATAATAGCTGACTTGTAAAAAGGCTGATCAAGGTCCAGAGATTTCATTAAGCACTTTACATACATCATCTCATTTAATTTTCCCAATACTCTACAAGATATTTACTATTTTAGAAATGTTGGCTAACATGTTCAGTGTTGCACAAACGGAAAATGGCAGAAGTAAGGCAATAAAAGACTGTTCACTCCCAAGCCCATACTCAGTGGTTATACTACCTAGACAGTCTCTTCTCAAATTGGGTAGATGGTAACACCACTGACTGAAGAAAATAGGAGAGGATGTGTTGGGAAACAAGCTGACTGTAATTAAAATAGTTTTCAAACATTTTACTGGAAATGGATATTATATATAAGTTATCAGTTTTATGACCTAAATATTAAAAATTTTACTGTCTCTCAAGTTAAATAGATCAGTGAATTAAAGCATGTAATAATATGCAGCAAATGGAAGTTAATTCTATTATCAGTGTTTTTCAGCCTAGCTGCAAATCAGAATCACCTGTAGCATCACCTGTGCATGTCCATACTTCACCCCCATGTAGTGGATATGTGGAGAAGTATCTATATTTTTCTTAAACTTCCCAACGAGGCCAATCCTATGAGCAACCATTATATTCAGTTTATGGCAGTGTTTCTCACAATAGGAGGGTAGAACTAGCTGCTGGCATGCGGAATGTGGGAGGGCTTATTAAAATACATCTTCCAGACCTATTCCCATTCTTCTAAATCAGAATCTCTGGGAGTGATGCCCAGAAACTGCATTTTAACTCTCAAGTGAGTTACATACAATGAATTTTGACAACTATTAGTATATGGTATTTATCTGCATTCATATTAAAGGATATTTTAGTGAAATCTATACCATTCATATTCCAAATGTATACAACTGATACTACCCATTGGGGACATACCATTTTAGCATCTAATAATTTCCTGTTTCTTCTTGTTAAATGTTTAAAAATGTAGTACTTCATTGCTCATCATTCCTGAGTTAGTCACTATTGTGAGACAGAGAGAACATGAATCCTTGAATCATCAGAAACTAGTGCTTGTTAATGATGTTCCAAACAATTTTTCATGTCAGAACTATACTATGCCATTCATAATAAATCTAGGCCATAGCATGTTTACAGGAGTTCTTTCCAAATAAGGCTTCCATAGAAAATATGTGTCAGATTTGTTTTCCTGTGTCAGAACAATGAGCACAATATGAATGGATTTTTACTCCTTTGATGCTCCAAACTGTTTCTTGTGTAATGCCCAGGAACTTTGTCTCCCCTGGGGCTAACCTCTCAAGTGTCTATTAGTTAGGTCTGTGTGTCATTTTTAGCAGTACAGGATACGCACTACATAACTCCAGAGGGTAACATCCATACGGTAGTCTGTGATGTGCATCACGGTGCCATTGATCAGAGGTATTATAACCCAAGGAAGTTTTTAAACTCTAAATTAAGCTTGTCTTTAACTATTTCTTTCTCATCAAATTGGAAAATATGTCTACTACTTGAAATGCTACATGTAAATTTGACTAAAATGACCTAAAAGTATATTAGTAAAGAAAAGAAAAGCAAGACATGTATTAGCCATAGACAATACCATTAATTTAGTTCATGAAAAATGTGATAAAGACTGGAGCAGCTGGTTTCAAAAAAAGCTTATATAATTTTTTAAATATTAAATTTTCATATAAACGTAAAAGTTCTGGTTTTTCCTTAATTTGGCTTTAATTTAAAATGTAAATATTTAAGGTTGGTTATTTTAGTTTTGACTGTTTAAGTGGATGTTAAGTAGATGATTTTTATTTCATTTTCGGAGGTATAGCGTTTATTATCACAAAAGCTGAGGTCTCACTTAGGAAATGGGTTTTCTATTACATACATATAAGTTGTGATCATGGAATCATTGGTTAAGTACAAGTTTTTATCAAATAGAATTTCAATATAAATTGCCACTTTATGTTTACATTGGAAGCAAGAAGGTAGTATTTCTAAAATGTTTCAAGAAATTTGCAATAATTGTTACCATTCAGAGATATCGAAATTTTAAAATTCCTAGTTATTTTTTAAGTCACCTGCTTCTATTTTATTTTTGACTTGTTTTGCTTTTCTAAGTCCACATATTTAAAAAGAGTCTAAAGAGTCTAAATGTGAAATATTAATAACTGAAAGTATTACGTTTTGTGATTTTATAGTAATTACATTTTCTTAAATATATATTTTAACAATATTTTACATTACTCAGCATGTGATTATACAAAACAGATTTTGCAGTATGTGCTGAACATAGTAACTAAAAGTGGATCAAATATTTCAAATACTTAAAGACACAATTTACAAACCCATAAACTTGTTTTATGTAATACTATAATTTTAATTTCAAAATGAAGACAATTATATTAATGTTTCTGAGCCCAGGAATATATTAAATACTGATAGTTCACATGAACAGTTGTTTATTTGGGAACCGAGAGCTCGTGAGGCCCACTCATATTCATCTTTTCCTTTCCATTTCCCTGTCTCATTGATACTTTATAGAGCTATCAATAACTCTATGAGGGGTGGGGAAAAATAACACGTACTGGCCCACTGTGTGCACACAGTAGGTGAGACAACTACTTTTAAAGGAAATGAGGAGGGAAGAAGAGGAGGCAAAACATAAATGAGAAAATTTTCTACTGCTTAGTAGCTCTAAAAAGCTTAATAAGGAAATACATGACATTACTGATTAAAATTATAACTGGGGATTTTCTCTCCATTTCCTGCATTCATTGTGATTCTACCCACGATAGGTGTGCTTGATTATTGGACGTATTTTAAATAAAACAGAATTTCAACTGCAAGTAAACAGTGGAATCTACCTCTGCACAGAAAGCTGTCTACCAAAGTATGCCTATTCTATAGAAGGAAAAAGCTTCCTCTGTAGATGTGAAATGGTGGTGGATCTCTTTAGCACTGACATTACTCCTACTGTGATACACAAGACAACTTCATCTCAACCTTCTCAGTTAAATCCAGGAGGGAATTTTTGGCCCAGAGTAAAGTAAGAAATGGAAGCTAAAGAGACCATTCCAAATCACTGGCATATGACAGTAGATGGAAGCGTTCACTGGTGAGGTTTACAAGGAGAGAGGAGTAAAAAGGTGAAGTTCCTTAAATCATTTCAGATGGAAAATACTTGCAGTTTGCTAATTGTATGCACATATGAAGAAGCATAGTGTTCAGTGGAGGAGGGGATGTGTTTTTGTTTTGTGTTTGCTTTTTTTCAAAGTGGATGTGTATTCCCAGTTCATTCACATTGGGTAATACTCAATAAATATGTACTGAGTAGATGAACCGGTAAGTATTTCTAAGACTCACTTGTGATTAAAGGGACTGTCTGAAAGATTCCATGTGAGACAGAGGAGTCTTTAGGAAGCAGTGACATGGTCCCCAAGGCAGTAGTCTCCTCATCTGTTAAGTGACTCCCTACTTCTTGGGTCCTTGTGAGGATAGCTTGAATCCATAAAGCTCTTGAGAAAGTGGCTGGAACATAATAAACTCTTGATAATTCCTGGTATAATTAGGCTACTATCAATGTTACAACATCTATTACTTAATGTGTGGTCATAGTGTTATGAAAGCTCTGAATTTTAGGTCTAAAAGCTCTCAATTTTGTGACTAAAGGAGTTTTCACTGAAAATGTCCAGTCTGTTTCTGACACTTTCCCACCAACCGATTCAGTGGCTCCCTTAGACTAGTTTCTACTTAGAATTGCTATGATGGAAAAGGGGTACACAGATTTAGAATGTAAGTGTAATTTCATGCCCATTATATTGGACTAATAAATTATCACTAATCCTGGTAGTCGGCGGACAGGGCAGTTCTTACCACATTTCACATATAGCAGGATCCAAACCTCATGGAACACTTTGGTTGAGCTGGGTGCTTGTCATCGGTACTTGGATGAAGGAGAGACTTGCACCGCTGGACAATGGCCAGCCACCTACAGAAATTCAACAGCATACTAACTCCAAATATCTCTGTTGTTCTCTTGTTCTGCATGTTTTTTTAAATTAGAACTGAAAATATTTGTTCCTTTCACTTAAAATCTTTATTCCTTAAAGTAGAAAGTTGTATTAAAGTCTAATATTCTGCCTTCCCACTTACTCTTTACTTTCCTTCACTACCAGTCACCCCATCCAGTCACTCTCCAAGTTCTGAGAATGTCACTTTCAAATATCTCTTGAATAGTGCTTGAATTTTTTGTTTGTTTGTTTTGTTTTTTGAGATGGAGTCTCGCTCTGTCGCCCAGGCTGCAGTGCAGTGGCTCGATCTCGGCTCCCAGGTTCACGCCATTCTCCTGCCTCAGCCTCCTGAGTAGCTGGGACTACAGGCGCCCGTCACCACGCCTGGCTAATTTTTTGTATTTTAGTAGAGACGGGGTTTCACCATGTTAGCCAGGGTGGTCTTGATCTCCTGACCTCCTGATCCGCCCGCCTCGGCCTGCTTCTTGAATTTTAATCTGCACGTACATCACCTGGGGATCTTGTTAAAATGCAGATTTTGGTTCAGTGGATCTGGAGTCAGACACATTTTGTAAAGTAAACACAACTGAGTATAGCACCCACATTAAAAAAAAAAAAAGATTATTATGAGCACTCCAGAAGTCAGCTGTAATTGGCTGACTGTTGGTTCCCAATGATATCAGGTTCTAATCCCTGGAAACCTATGAGTGTCCTCTTATGTTGTAAAGTTTTTGTACATATAATTATACAAAGAATCTGGAAATGAAGAAATTGTCCTGGATTATCCAGATGGGCCCCAAATACCATCACAAGTGTCCTTATAAGAGCAGCAGAGGGAAATTAAACACATGTGTGGACCTGCCAACACCTTCATAGGGGACTTCCATCCTCCAGAACTGTGAGAGAAGGACTGCTTTAAGTCACCAAGTCTGGCAAATTTTTATAACAGCATTAGGGAGCAAGTGCACTAGCCTTAATTCCTTTCAAAATAAACTACCTCTCATCCTTTCATGTGATTAAGACTTACATTCTTTTCTGACAAAACTTTTTAGGAAGTCTGAAAGAGATGAGTGCAAAGTCCTTTCTATGATACCTTTATATTACTACATGATCTTTCTTGCTCATTTTCTCCTCTTACTTTTCCGTTGAAGATACTCTTACATATTGAGCATTGAGAAATTTCTCTATTTCTGTATCTCAATTACTAGGCCTACTTGCTTAATTCATTAACTATTGCAATTATTAAATTGGTTCAGCACTTTTGCACTAAGCCTATGTATCATTAATTATAGAATTTGATTCTTCTAAATAATTCCTGGCTGTAACTAATATTTGAATAACACTTTCTAATACACATGTAAAGTAAGTTATTGAAATTTCATACTGTATTGCTTTCTATGCTGCTTATAAAAAATTACCACAAAGTTAGCAGCTTAAAAAAAACACACTTTATTATCTTACAGTTTTGTAGGTCAGATATCTGGCATGGGTCTTGGCAAGCTAAAACCAAACTCTCAGCATAGCTGAATTCCTTTCTACAGGCTTCTGGAAGGAATCATTTTTTTTGCCTTATCTAGCTTCTAGAGGTTGCCCACATTCTTTGGTTCATGGCCCCTTTCCTCTACATTCAAAGCCAACATGTTGAATTTTACCTGACCTTCTTCAGTAATCACATTGCCCTCTCTAATCACAACTGGGAAAGGTTGTTCCTCTTATAAGGACCCTTGTGATTATATTGGGCTGACCTGGATAATTCAGTATAATCTCTCCATCTCAAGATCCTTAACTTTAAGCACATTTTCAGAATCCCTTATGTCAAGGAAAGTGACATATTTAGAGGTTCTGGAGATTAGGATGCATATATCTTTGAGGGGGCATGATTCTGCCTGCTACATAGTTTCTAGTTATATAACCTAATTTTGATGATCTAGGAGATTTTAAGGTTTCATATTATTCTTAGAAAACAAACGACTTTTTGATTATTTTTATATGACTACCTTTATTTTGTAGTCACTCAATTAAAAAAAAGTTTTCACTGAAAGCATTACTCCTCCAAGCATTTTATTTTTCTGAAATGCTATTAAATATAATTCTAGGCTTTTGACTAGTAGTTTTTATAATGAAATTGTTGTTTTCCTTAAACTAGGGATACATAATAATTTTTAATAATATTATTAACAAATATATTGCTTAGTAGCTTCTGAGATGATGTCTTTTGAAGCAAATGATAAAATTGCCTTTATTTTTATAAATTAGAAAACTGAGATGAAAAGATTGGTTTTTATCAGTGCATATTAAGAGAAAAGAAAAGCTAAAATTAGAGGTCACAGATATTTTACCTGTAATTCTTCTTATAGTTCATTAAATTCTACTGTCACCAAGTTATCAATTCATTGTATTTGTTTTTAATATCTCTCTTGTTAAATTATGCTTTAAGTTCTGGGATACATGTACAGAACATGGAGGTTTGTTACATAGGTATACATGTGCCATGGTGGTTTGCTGCACCCATCAGCCTGTCATCTACATTAGTTATTTCTCCTAATGCTATCCTTCCCGTAGCCCCCCAACCCCCGACAGGCCCTAGTGTATGATGTTCCCCTCCCTGTGTCCATGTGTTCCCATTGTTCAACTCCCACTTACCAGTGAGAACATGTGGTGTTTGGTTTTCTGTTCCTTTGTTAGTTTGCTGAGAATAATGTTTTCCAGCTTCATCTATGTCCCTGCAAAGGACATGAACTCATTCTTTTTTATGGCTGCATAGTGTTCCATGGTGTATATGTGCCACATTTTCTTTATCCAGTCTATCATTGATGCACATTTGGGTTGGTTCCAAGTCTTTACTATTGTGAATAGTGCTGCAATAAGCATATGTGTGCATGCATCTTTATAGTAGAATGGGTAAATACCCAGTAATGGGATTGCTGGGTCAAATGGTATTTCTGGTTCTAAAACCTTGAGGAATCACCATCCTGTCTTCCACAATGGTTAAACTAATTTACACTCCCACCAACAGTGTAAAAGCTTTCCTATTTCTCCACATCCTCTCCAGCACCTGTTGTTTCCTGACTTTTTAATGATTGCCATTCTAACTGGCATAAAATGGTATCTCATTGTGGTTTTAATTTTCATTTATCTAATGACCAGTGATGATTAGCTTTTTTTTCCATATGTTTGCTGGCTGCATAAATGTCTTCTCTTGAGAAGTGTCCTTCGACCACTTTTTGATGGGGTTGTTTGTTTTTTCTTGTAAATTTGTTTAAGTTCCTTGTAGATTCTGGATATTAGCCCTTTGTCAGATGGAGAGATTGCAAAATTTTTCTCCCATTCTGTAGGTTGCCTGTTCACTCTGATGATAGTTTCTTTTGCTGTGCAGAGGCTCTTTAGTTTAATTAGATCCCATTTGTCAATTTTGGCTTTTGTTGCCATTGCTTTTGGTGTTTTAGTCATGTAATCTTTGCCCATGCTTATGTCCTTAATGGTATTGCCTAGGTTTTCTTCTAGGGTTTTATGGTTTTAGGTCTTATGTTTAAGTCTTTAATCCATCTTGAGTTAATTTTTCTATAGTGTGTAAGATAGGGGTCCACTTTAAGTTTTCTGCATATGGCTTGCCCATTTTCCAACACCATTTATGAAATAGGGACTCCTTTCCCCCATTGCTTGCTTTTTGTCAGGTTTGTCAAAGATTAGATGGTTATAGTTGTGTGGTCTTATTTCGGAGGCCTCTGTTCTGTTCCTTTGGTCTATGTATCTGTTTTGGTACCAGTACCATGCTGTTTTGGTTAATGTAGCCTTATAGTGTAGTTTGAAGTCAGGTAGTGTGATGCCTCCAGCCTTATTCTTTTTGCTTAGGATTGTTTTGGCTATATGGGCCCTTTTTGGCTCCATATGAAATTTTAAGTAGTTTTTTCTAATTATATGAAGAAAGTCAATGTATTTTTTAACCTATTGAGTGGATATGTTGCCTAAACATTAGAAAAAAGCAGGAACTCTTATCTGCTGATTTTGTTGATATGTGGATACTTCTATCTGTTTCAAACCCTTGAATTCATCAAAATCCATTTACATTATACTTTTACAATGAGCCTGGACTGATCGTCCTAGACAACAGTGATACATTTCTTCTCCCAAAGACACACTGCTTATTTAGTTTATCGTTCTTTTAGTGCATACAAGCTGCACTATTGTTCCTCAGCTGCCTTGAATTGTTTATTGCCTTTTATGTGAATTAAAGGTTTCCTTCCAAAAGAATTGTGAACTGCTTGGTGGCAAATCATATACATTATGCTTTTTCATATTCCTTTCTTACTTATTATACTGTTCTTCCCATTGTAGATATTTATGGTGTATTTGTTAACTGATGAGCAGTATCACATCCTCATCATTATTTTCAGCATCATCGCAAAGTATGTCCTGAGAAAATGACAAGTTGTCTAGAACATTGTCTAGAATGTCCTTAAAAACACTTACTATGTATTATTCTCCTGTCCTACATGGGGAAGGAAATACTGTCTCTTGTTCTGTTGAATTCACAGACCAATTTGAAGTACAAAAAGGCTGTATGAACAAATGGAAATTTCAAGAGACCGAAAGGTTTGGCAGGTTTGCTTCCCTCTCCCTCAAGACTTTACTGGCAGCCTAACTTGAGGCAGGCCATGTCATCTCTGGCCATAAGTGTTTTCTCATCTGTAAAATGACCACTACAGCAATTTCTTTCCTGCAAACCCTATTGCTAGAATAAGCAGATAGAAAATAATTCACTTTAAAAAGGTAAATTCCTCATAAAAATCAAATTATTATTCATGGTTATCTCAAAGCCACATTCACTGATAAGAATTTGCAAGGGGACAAACTTCTTTGAAAAAAAAAAAAGATACTCTTTGTGGAATTCCCATTTTAAAAATCCCCCTAAATGTCTTTTAAGGTAATAAAAGCCCCTGATTGGCTTTACATAGCCCATATGCCTTTCTTGTGTCTGAGACCTTCAAGTCCCTAGGAAACATCCAAGAAATGACCAGGGTTCTAGCAAGGAAAAACAGGCCCACTCTGAAGCCTAATATGTCTTAATTTATTTTTGTCTTCCACTCTACAGATAATGAAACTGCTTTATGGGATTTTGTTGTGAGTTGCAAATGAGATAATTCTTGTGAAAACCCATATGCAAAGACATTGTGTTTAGCAGCTTAACCTAGAAAAATCTGAAACAGTTCATGTCAGAAATTTGCTTTGTTGTTGTTAATAAGAAGTAATCTTTTTATGAAAAATATATGAATTTTACACTTTAGATTTGAGTGATCCACATTCAAATTAAGTTACCCATATTCAGAATATGTAACTTGAACTAGATGGTATATGTTGTGTTCTAATCTTCAATAATTAAGTACAGCATCAGCTACTTCTAAGGGTACATCTATCAAAAGTGTTTACCATGATGATAGGTGTGACTCAAATGGTAAACAAAAAGCAGAAAGAACTTAGATGACATGACATTTAAACTGACATCAGTGAAAGTAGACAAGTTGGAGTTTTGTCTTAAAGGTAAATGTTACCGGGTTATTTTGGCTTAGTTATCATGGTTAAGAACAAAATTATTTTACATGGGCAGATAAGAAAGATAAACACACATTTATTATTTTTTTATCTTCAGATCACAATTTTCTATGTGCACATTGCCCTTAAACCACATCCTGCATGTTTTGGATTTCAGAGACTTTAAGATTAAGGGCAGTTCTTTTTATCTGCTTATTCTCATGGTTTGTTTTGATTTTTTTCCCCTAGCATGATACATAAGAGTTTTGAATTGTTTAAAGATCCTTCTGGACTTATGAGCAAAGGAAGGAGAGGATTAAGATGATCTTATTTTTATTTCATATTTATTAAGCACATAAGTTATTCCAGGATTTTTAGAAAATGCCAAACTAAAATAGCCTCCAAATAATTGGTTTGCCTTTTAGATTTTTAGAAGAACCATTCAAATGTCTCTTTAGTCCCACCTCCTTTCTTTTATGTATGAGGAAATTTAGTCACAAAGAGCTTAAGTTAGTTATCTCTAATCAGAGAGCCGGCTCATGACAAAACTAGAAGTAGATGTTTTCACTCTCATCCAGTTGAGAATCCCTCCACTATACCAAACTGCCACTCAGGACAACTAAATATTTCCAATAAAGAAAGATGTATAATTACATACTAGAATGTAAGAACATTAAAGGTAGAAATAATCTTATTCATCCATGTGCCCAACACACAGTAACAATAAGCACTTTATAAATATGTGTTGAATAAATGAAATGTTAACCAGCACTCATTTCACTATATCACATGGCATAAGGAATCAGGGCATCATCGTTCACTGAGGTAAGCATCTTAATTGAAGACCTAGCTATTCATTTAGCCTAGACCCTATGGTCTCACTGGTAATAAGGCCACTAAACTCCACCTATCTAGGAGAGAATAACAACCTGTAGAGCACTAGTCTTGAAAATCCTAATTTCAAAATGACCATACAAAAGTTCCTGTACAAATACCATTCTATAAATCTTCACTGTCATGTTCCAACATAATCCCTGACTATATTGTTATGCTGCCAGATGAGCAGTTAAGTCTACACAGGTTAAGCAATTTCTATCACAATGGGATCTTTTAATAGTATTTTTAGAAACCAAATAAATAATTTAAAAATTACAAAATTACTAATAGTAATGTGAGTTATATCAAAGGTGGTATTAAGATTATATATGATCCCAAATTAGGATCCCCAGATAACTAAAACCTGTGTGATAATAACCTTCCCCAACATGTTCCTAAGACAGTAACCCAGGCAAGTGGGTATCCTCTTTTCAAATGAAGCTTTTGTCCCAAAACCCAAGTAGGCCCATGGCAGAGCTAAGCTAAACCACATGAAAGATTTTGCCTGTGTTAAATATTGTCTTATGTGACCAAAAACACTCAAAATAGATTGAGAGGCCTTCTTACCTCTTTTTAACCCAAGCCCTTTTCTAAATTTTTGTTTACTAGTATAAAAAAAAGGTCTTGGCAAGAAGACAACCCGGGATATCTTTGTAAGGCCAAGAGGAAACAGCCTAATCCACTCACCCCAGTATTTCTCAGTGTGTGAGCAAGGAAAAGAGACTGAATATCCCTTGCATGTCTGCTCAGTACCTATAGTGAAACCTTACCGCTTCTCCTCCTTGAGTGTAGAATGAATGGGGTGGCTGGTGAGGATGGGAGAGGTGGGGGACTTTGGCTGGGTCTTCCCCTGGATATAAAAAGCAAATTACACACAGATGAGAAGAGGCTACTGTATGTTGTTGAGCAATATTCATGGGTTCCCAAGTTCTAACTCTGACTTTTTACCATCTTCTACAGGTGAACTCAGCCAAGTCATCTAATAGTTTTAGCACAGACATTGGGTCATGGTTGAGACCTCTTTCTTTTTTCATGTCCCTGGCTTATCCCTCCAGCTTTTCCTTACTATCAGAGTAGGAGAATGGCACTAGAGAACAATAGTGAAGACAACAGACTTAGAAATTCAGCACAGTTGGCTTCTAATTCCAGCTCTGTCATATATAACTTGAGAAAATTACTTAACGCCTCTTAAATCACAGTTTTCTGTGATCAATAAAATGGGGATAAGTGTGCTTTCTTAGTATGTTTTATTGTGAATGTAAAATGTAATAATGCACAGAAAGTGCTTAGCACAGTGCAAGACCGAGTTTGATCACTAGTAAATGTTATATTCTAATAACAATAGCCGAGGCTTGTGAGCTTAAGTGGGATATGGAAAGACACTTTTCAGCCAGCTGAAATCTTAAGACTCAGGATTACCTTTGGCACCTAAGTAACAGCTGCCCCTTCACGTGATTAGGCTATGACACCAGAGATTGCCAACAAAACATCAGAGTAAGGAATATTTACTAGCCTGAAATGTTCATTTCCTTCAGACTCTTTGCAGCTGTGCATAGTGGATGACAGTGGATAAAGTTTGAAGGGGTATTCTTGCTAACTCCAATCTTACTACCATCCTTTAACCATAAAATACATTAAATGCCAATGTACTGCCTGAAACAAGAACAAATAGAATTTATGTTTATCTTGCTCATTTTGGTTGCAACAATTCTAATCATGAAGGGTTGGGGCAACATCTTTTCACTATTTCCTATGTCATTTCCTATGTCTCAACAATCTCTTCTTTTTTTATATATATATAAATATATATTTTTATTATACTTTAAGTTCTAGGGTACATGTGCACAACGTGCAGGTTTGTTATATATGTATACATGTGCCATGTTGCTGTGCTGCACCCATTAACTCGTCGTTTACATTAGGTATATCTCCTAATGCTATCCCTCCCCCAGCCTGCCACCCCACAACAGGCCCCAGTGTGTGATGTTCCTCTTCCTGTGTCCAAGTGTTCTCATTGTTCAATTCCCACCTATGAGTGAGAACATGCGGTGTTTGGATTTTTGTCCCTGCCATAGTTTGCTGAGAATGATGGTTTCCAGCTTCATCCATGTCCCTACAAAGGACATGAACTCATCCTTTTTAAGGCTGCATAGTATTCCGTGGTGTATATGTGCCACATTTTCATAATCCAGTCTATCATTGTTGGACATTTAGGTTGGTTCCAAGTCTTTGCTATTGTGAATAGTGCCACAACAAACATACGTGTGCATGTGTCTTTATAGCAGCATGATTTATAATCCTTTGGGTATATACCCAGTAACGGGGTGGCTGGGTCAAATACTATTTCTAGTTCTAGATCCCTGAGGAATCGCCACACTGTCTTCCACAATGGCTGAACTAGTTTACAGTTCCACCAACAGTGTAAAAGTGTCCTTATTTCTCCACATCCTCTTCAGCACCTGTTGTTTCCTGATTTTTTTTTAATTTTATTATTATTATACTTTAAGTTTTAGGGTACATGTGCACAATGTGCCGGTTTGTTACATATGTATACATGTGCCATGTTGGTGCGCCGCACCCATTAACTCGTCATTTAGCATTAGGTATATCTCCTAATGTATCCCTCCCCACTCTCCACAATAGTCCCCGGTGTGTGATGTTCCCCTTCCTGTGTCCATGTGTTCTCATTGTTCAATTCCCACCTATGAGTGAGAACATGCGGTGTTTGGATTTTTGTCCTTGCCATAGTTTGCTGAGAATGATGGTTTCCAGCTTCATCCATGTCTCTACAAAGGACGTGAAGTCATCGTTTTTTATGGCTGCATAGTATTCCATGGTGTATATGTGCCACATTTTCTTAATCCAGTCTATCATTCTTGGACATTTGGGTTGGTTCCAAGTCTTTGCTATTGTGAATAGTGCCACAATAAACATATGTGTGTATGTGTCTTTATAGCAGCATGATTTATAGTCCTTTGGGTATATACCTAGTAATGGGATGGCTGGGTCAAATGGTATTTCTAGTTCTAGATCCCTGAGGAATCATCACACTGACTTCCACAGTGGTTGAACTAGTTTACAGTCCCACCAATAGTGTAAAAGTGTTCCTATTTTTCCACATCCTCTCCAGCACCTGTTGTTTCCTGACTTTTTAATGATCACCATTCTAACTGGTGTGAGATGGTATCTCATTGTGGTTTTGATTTGCATTTCTCTGATGGCCAGTGACGATGAGCATTTTTTCATGTGCCTTTTGGCTGCATAAATGTCTTCTTTTGAGAATTGTCTGTTCATATCCTTCGCCCACTTTTTGATGGGGTTGTTTGTTTTTTTCTTGTAAATTTGTTTGAGTTCATTGTAGATTCTGGATATTAGCCCTTTGTCAGATGAGTAGATTGCAAAAATTTTCTCCCATTCTGTATGTTGCCTGTTCACTCTGATGGTAGTTTCTTTTGCTGTGCAGAAGTTCTTTAGTTTAATTAGATCCCATTTGTCAATTTTGGCTTTTGTTGCCATTGCTTTTGGTGTTTTAGACATGAAGTCCTTGGCCATGCCTATGTCCTGAATGGTTTTGCCTAGGTTTTCTTCCAGAGTTTTTATGGTTTTAGGTCTAACATGTAAGCCTTTAATCCATCTTGAATTAATTTTTGTATAAGGTGTAAGGAAGGGATCCAGTTTCAGCTTTCTACATATGGCTAGCCAGTTTTCCCAGCACCATTTATTAAATAGGGAATCCTTTCCCCATTGCTTGTTTTTCTCAGGTTTGTCAAAGATCAGATAGTTGTAGATATGTGGCATTATTTCTGAGAGCTCTGTTCTATTCCATTGGTCTATATCTCTGTTTTGGTACCAGTACCATGCTGTTTTGGTTACTGTAGCCTTGTAGTATAGTTTGAAGTCAGGTAGTGTGATGCCTCCAGCTTTGTTCTTTTGGCTTAGGATTGACTTGGTTTTATCATGCATCCTCATTCATACCACCATCTGCTCAAGTCCCACACTGTTTTTTTTTTTTTTAAAAGACCGTTCAAGTTTTTCAGTGATGTTTTTAAAAATCTGATCATTTACATTCTGTTGCATAAAACTGTTCAATGACTTTTATTGCATTTAAGTTAAATTGAAAGCCATTATTAGAACCCACATGGCCTACAGAAATTGGTTCCTACCTAATCTCAAATTTTATTTCACATCATGCCTTCTCCACCCTCTTCTCTGCTCTCACTACTGCTCAGCCACATTGACTTTCTTTCCATTTCTTGAACAGGCAAGACTATTTCCTGCCTTAGGGCCAGAGTACTTGCTATTCCCTTTGCCTGGAATGTTCTTCACGCACATCTTCCCCTGGATTTTTTTATTATTCAAGTTTCAAGTAAAACAATTTCTTCTCAGGAAGACCCTATTCAACTACCGTATCTGCTAGATTTCTTCCAATTAATCTCAACTTTATTGTTTTCACAGCACAGTATCTCTGCCTATAATGTTGGTTTTGGGCAAAATAATTTTTATGTGATTATAAAATAGAAATAGAAATATCTAGTATATCAGAAATGCAAATAAAGCTCCTGTCAAATAAAGGATTACTAATAAATTGTGACTTATTTATTATTGAAAAATTATTTTTTCTTTCTATCAAGCATGCAAATGACTCATGCTTATTTTGAGGTTAAATATGAAAAGTGGTAGAAGAAATACATTTTTATCTTCTCTTTTCTATAGTTCACTTATGTATTTTGTCAATAAACATTATTGCATGTTTTGTCTATGCTGGGTGTGAAGCTTGATTCTGGAAATACCAAGATAAATGATAGCATCCTTAATCACAAGCAGCTCAAGCTCTAATAGGGAGACTTTATTAGAGGCACACTGCATCTCATTCATCTCCTGAGGCAGTGTGATAGGAATTAGGTAAGAAATGAGTTCTGTGGGGACACTGTATAGGGATGGAGGAATTGGTCCACAAAATCCTCCAATGAGATGAGTTTCAAAGGGATAAGAGAAGATGGTCAGATGGTAAAGGAGAGGAAGCTCATTCCATGTTTTCAGGTGATAAATTCTGTGTGTCTTTTGCTAGACTGTGAACTCCATGAGGTCAGGGTCTTACTTTGTTCAATATTGTATCTCCAGCACCTAGGACAGCACTTGGTACACATAGTCTCTCATTAGGTATCCTTGAATGAGTCCCTCTAAGGCATAGTATGATTTACTCTGGTGCCTATACAAGATACAGATGGGTTTTTAAATTCATAATTTGATAGAGAAAATGAGATTTTTGAGGTTGACAATTATAATGAGAACTATAAATAATTTACTATGCATTAATATTCAGTGAATTATACAGCCTATCTAGTGGTTTCAGATATTGATTTATAGTTTCTTCTTACTGAGGAAGTGGTTTTAACCCATAATTAGTACTGTTAATTGATGAGATTCTGCTCAGGCTTGTTCATATCCTCTGTTGTTTGTCTCAGGGTGCTCTTAACCCATTGGTATGACCACATTCTTTTCTACTCCTTTATCTCTGATTTTTTAGTCTTTGCTTTCTCCTGAAGTCCTTTAATACCAACCAGCACACTGCAAAGTGCTGAGTGCCTATCTGCCCGCTACTGAGAATGCCTCTGTAATGTTGCTGTCATTTTCTGTAAGTTTCCAAGATTGTCCCCTGTTCTCCTTAGCAATTGCATTCTTCTGCAAGAACAATGCCCTTTAGTGATGATAGTGAAAAGGTAACAAAAATCCCTTTGGTCAGAAGAATCATTTTGTTCTTGGAGTCTGAACTGAAAACAGAACCTAGTTTCCTGCCTGCCACCCACAAGCATAGTATAGTAGTAAGATCATAGGCTTCATGTCCAGATGCTTGGGTACAGATCCCAGCATCATGACTGACAATTCCTGCTGCTTTAGATTCATTTCTTCCTTCTCCACCCTGCTCTACCCAGGAAGGCTGCTTCCATTAAAGTACATGCATGAGACCAGGCTCTGGCCCCAGTGGGATATGGCCAGTATAAAACTCTAGCAAGAAGGTACTTATTCCCTTGGCCCTTCGTAGACATACAGCTGTCTATGCCCCTTGACACAATCTCTCTGCAATTCTGTCGGATACCCACATACAACTCTTCCTCCCTCTCCTTTTTGGGTTCTGATAAACTCTCCCTCTTGGGAGTAGTGTTGGGGGAAGTCTAGTGGCAGAGATGATGTCAGTTTTATTACTAATAGCTCCAGGTTCATGCAATATCCCTTGTGGTGACCCTACATGCCATCTATTAGTTCCTGTGTAAACAAACAAATGTTGCCATTGTTTCAAGTTAGAAATCTGACTGATGCACTAACTACGTGACCCTAGGCCAGGTACTTAACCTTCTCATGCTTCAGTTTTCTCATCTGTGAAACAGAATTAACAATGATACCTACATTATGGGGCTTGGGTTAAAATTAAATGAGAAAATTTCTGGCATATAGTAAACACTCAATAAACAATAGCTTTTAGGGCTACTATTTGTTGCATGGTGACACTTTCTGTGAAGCATAATTAGATAAATAGTTCCCTGAAGATTATTTTGTTGGCCTTTGCTTAATTATCTCAATCCCAAATCCCTGTCAGCTATACACCTACTGTGAATCAGGACAGGAAACATATTAAGGATACAAAGTTAAGACTGGGCATGGTGGCTCATGCCTGCAATACCAGCACTTTAGGAGGCTGAGGTGAGTGGATCGCTTGAACTCAGGAGTTCAAGAACAGCCTGGGCAACATGGCAGAACCCTATCTCTACAAAAAAATACAAAAATTAGCTGAGTGTGGTGGTGTGCTCCCGTAGTGCCAGCTACTCGGGAGGCTGAGGTAGAAGAATGGCTTGCACCTGGGAGGTCGAGGCTGCAGTGAGCTGAGATCATGCCACTGCACTCCAGTCTGGGCAATAGAGTGAGACCCTGTCTCAAAAAAAAAAGGGATACAAAGTTTGATAAACATATGCTGTCCAGACTACAAGAACCTCAAAAACCACAATATAAAGTGATGAGTACTAACATAGAAACATAGTTATGCCTCAGGGATATGTTCTGAGAAATGTGATGTTAGGCAATTTCATCTTTTTGTAAACATAGAGTTTACTCGCACAAACCTAGACGCCTATTGCTTCTAGGCTACCAACCTGTGCAATGTTACTGCCTAAATATTGTAGGCAATTGTAACACAGTGGTAAGTATTTGTGTATCTAAACATAGAAAAGGCACAATAAAAATATAGTATATTGGGCAACTGTGGTGGGAGGGATTGCTTGAGCCCAGGAGTTTGATACTAGCTTGGGTAATATAGTGAGATCCTCACTCTCCAAATACTAAAACTAAAAATAAATTAGCTGAGTGTGGTGGCACTTGTCTATAATCCTAGCTACATGAGAGGCTGAGACGGAGGATCAGTTGAGCCCAGGAGGTCAAGGCTGCTGTAAGCCATGATCACACTAATTCATTCCAGCCTAGGTGACAGAGCAATACCCTGTCTCAAAAAAACAAAAACAAAACAAAACAAAAACAGTATAAGAGATAAAAAATGGTACACCTGTATAAGGCACTTACCATGAATGGAGCTTGTACCACTGGAAGTTGTTCTGGGTGAGTCAGTGAGTAGTGAGTGCATGTGAAGGCCTAGGACATTACTGTACACTATGGTAGACTTTATAAACACTGTACACTTAAGTGACACTAAATTTATAGAACAACATTTTTCTTTCTTCTATAATAAATTCACCTTAACTTACGATGACATTTTTACTTTATGAAATTTCAAATTTTTAAAATTTTTTGACTCTCTTGTAATAACACAATATAAAACACAAACACATTGTACAGTTACATAAAATATTTGTCTTTATATCATTCTACAAACTTTTTCTTTTTTAAAATTTTTTATTATTTTTTCTTTACTTTTTAAACTTTGTTGTTAAAAACTAACACAAAACTAGCCTACACCGGGTCAGGATCATCAAGATGTCACTAGGCGATATGAAATTTTCAGCTCCATTATAGTAGTATGGGACCCCCATGGTGCATGAGGTTCGTTGTTAACCAAAATGCTGTTATGGGGTACATGGATGTATTTTTAAAACTGTTATGAGAGCTCAGATGGGAAGCAGAGGAAATTCCCAAGACGATGGTAAAAAGAATTCCCTGAAATGATGGTTAATTCTGTTTGAAACCTAGAAAAAAATCAAGTACAGGTAAAAGAAAGCAGTGAGTTTCTGAGGGCATATTCCCAGGAAAATAAAAACAGACCGACTATGAATACATTGAGAAGATAGTTATAGTTTTGCTGGAAATTTTGAGGGGATTAGTGATAGGTACATAGAAAATCAAGAGAGTAAGCCTGATCTCACCTATATGTGGAATCTAAAAAAGTTGATCTCATAAAAGTAGAGAGGAGAATTGTGGTTACCAGAGGCTAGGGAGGGTAGAGGGAGGGAGAAATGGTGAGAGGTTGGTCAGCAGATATAAAGTTGCAATTAGATGGGTGGAATGAATTCTGAAGTTCTATTGCACAGTAGGGGGACTATTGTTAAAACAATGTATTGTATATTTTAAAATAGGTAGAAGATTCTGAATAATCTCACCACAAAGAAATGAGAAATGTTTGAGGTGATGGATATGCTAATTACCCAGATTTGATCATTACACAATGTATACATATATTGAAATATCACACAGTACCCTATAAATATGTATAATTATTATGTGTCAATTAAACATTTTAAAGCTTAAATAAACTGAGGAGGTAAAAAAGTCAAAACAACCCAATAGAAAATAAAAAGTCTGAAGAAAGAAAATTTAATCATAGCTAGGGAATAGATACTTCAACTTTCTGATTCTATAGCTCAGCTGTGGCTAATGTTTATAAGGTACAAAAATTGAAAACACTGACTAATTTTTTAACCTAAAATTATGGCATAGCTTTATGGCGGTGGGGGGGGTGATAAAAGGAGAAAAAGTTTAGGAATGGTTTGAGAGTGGAAAAGATACATATTAGAAATCATCATCTTCCATATAATTAGAAGTAGAAACAAAAAGAAAAACATTAAGAAATATCAGTATTAATATGTTATTCAGAAACAACTAAGAGTTAAAGAAGGTTCATTTGAGGAACAGATACCAAGATGAGGGAGGAGAAAATGGTAATACTTTATTTCTTGGAAAACTTTGAGGTTAGTTTTAGAAAGTATATGAATGCATTTCTAAAACTTGAGTTTTAGAAAGCATATGAATGCATTATTGAATAAAATAAATATAAATATGAAATTAAATACCTTACACAAAAGGAATTATATGTAAGGGAGAGGTGAGAGTGGTCCTAGAATAATAGTTTGGTAGGACATCATGAGCAATTCGCAATAGTAAAAAGGTTGCACTTCAGAACTCCAAGTAGCTAATAAAAACAGGAGAATCATATGCTGATTTCCATTTTAGAGAAGAATTTCTTAGCTAATTTTGAAAATGGATAGAGTGAGGAATGAACGGTATCCAGGAAAGTAGTTATGATAGTTCAACAGGGAAACAATGAGGTTTGAAATAAGATATTGGCAATCATCACACAAAGCAAAGACATGGTTTGAGATATTTCTTGAAGCTAAAATCAGCAGAATTTGATGATTAATTAGATGTGGGAAGTAAAAGAAATCAAAGTTAATACAGAAGCTTCTACTTTTTGGTTGATAGTGTAGATATTTGTTCTTATAACAAACATAAGAGCAAATTTATGGAATGACATGGTTTTAAAAATCTAGATGCCTGGATTACATCCAGTTAGACTGATGTAGTAGACAGTAACACAGACAATTTTAAAAATCAAGGAAAAACCTCAAAACTGGAGATAAACGATTTAAAAGCTTCTGGTGTATAAGTGGTAGTTGAAGTCACTGTTCAAGAAAATAATGTCTGGCCAAGCTAAGGAGCATCTATATAAAGAGGATCCAGTAATGAAGCCTAAGAAATGTATTAATTCCTTATTAATTTAATCATTCTTTCAACAAATATTTTTAAGCATCTACTATGAGCTAGGCACTGATCAGTTCTTTGTAAAACTTCCATCAACATTTTCCTGTGGTTCTAAGTAAATTCTTTCTTTTAAACCTCTTAACATTTTGTGAAAATAGATGAAAATAAGAAAGACACTATGCATTTCATTATTTCACGATTATGTCATTTTACACTTATAAAAATGTAGGGAAAATACATAGTTGGAATGAAAGGAGAAGAAAAAGAAGGAATGATTGCCTTTGTAGGAACTGAAAGGTATAGAAGAACATCAGGGTATTTGGGCAACCCTGACCCATGAACTGATCCATAAAGTAGAAGAAAAATGACTTGAGAAAGACCCAATCAAAGCATCAAAACAATTGGAAAAATCAAGTAAGCTATAGGGTCATGTAGAAATAGTAATTTGAGTATGAAAATATGGGGTGGGATGGGACCATTTTCAGGGATATTCAATTCAGCCTTCATCTTCTGTTAAGCTGATCTATTATTTGGTATTGGAATGACATCACGGATCTTGGCTCTCTGGCACATTGTTATGTTGGTTACAGTAGCCTCAGTGTGGAACTACAGTTGAATTTCTATCATTAAAACCCTGGCGATATGATTTGTCAGGAAGATTCAGCTGGTGTTTATTATTGATCTGCGATTGTACTACTAAATGTGTGTCAGCTTCTACAAGGATAGATCTGGGCTTCTTTTGGCAATTAAAGGAATATAAGAGGAGAATATAAGAAGGGAGCTGGATATTTTTATATTCAGACCTACCTATATAACTATTTAATTATTAAACATTTTTGTATTGTACCTTTATACCTCCTTCCCGCCTTCTCTTCCCTTTTCTGTTTCTTCTCTTTATTCTTTCTTGCCCTGTTCCAAGTCAGCACTAAAGCACAAACACATTAAAATAAAACTGTGGTTCTCAAAGTGCAATTCCCTTGATCAGCAGAATCAGCGTCATCTGAGAGCTTGTTAAAAATGCAAATTCTTGGACATCATCCCAGACCTACTGAATCTGAAACTCTGGGGATGGGACTCAGCAATCTGTGCTTTGCAAGCCTTTCAGGTGATTCTTATGTGTGATAAACTTAGAGAAACACCCAATAAAATGAAGAAATTGGAGACACACACACACCACAGAAAGAGAGAGACAGAGGGAGAGAATAATAAAGTAATAAGATAATAAGATAAATCAAAAAGAGAAGTTTGAACATAGAATTGTTTTTATGGCAAACAAAAAGTTTGATTCTATGTTTTCCAAACAGATAAAAGCAAAGAAGGAAGCATTATTAATTTACGTGATTCCTTTGACACTGCATTCTATTCAAGAAAGAACCAACTTCCTTTCTCTGTTGCTCTTAGCAAAAAGATTTCTGAAGGGTTATCTAAGTAAGATATGTTTATTTCTTATTTCTCTATTCACTCTTTAATTCATCATAGTTGGCCTCATCATCTATTGAAAATGCTCTTGATGACATCACAAGTGTAAAGTTCTCTTTCTAATATTCAGCAACATGAAACCCAACTAGTTATTCTATTCTATTCCTTTTGATAGATGCATATTAGGAATATCATCAATGCATTCACTCAGCAAATAGTTGTTGAGCGGCCAGTATGTACCAGGCACTGTGCAGGACATTGTTGATAGCATGTAGAACAAAATGAAGTCTCTACCTTTATGGCCCCTGCAAACTAAGGAGAAAGAAAGGCAATTTATTTTCTTTTTATTTATTTATTTATTTATTTATTTTTGAGACGGAGTCTCATTCTATTGCCCAGGCTGGAGTGCAGTGGCATGATCTTGGCTCACTGCAACCTCCGCCTCCAGGATTCAATTAATTCTCCTGTCTCAGCCTCCCAAGTAACTGGGATTACAGGTACCTGCCATCACATCCAGCTAATTTTTGTATTTTTAGTAGAGACGGGGTTTTCTCATATTGATCAGGCTGGTCTCGAACTCCTGACCTCAGGTGATTCACCCGCCTCGACCTCCCAAAGTGCTGGGATTACAGGCATGAGCCACCATGCCCAGCCAAAAGGCAATTTTAAAATGAAGTAAAGCATAAAGAAATAAGTACCAAGATAGATATAGCTGCTGTGAACAAAAATAAAACAAGGCAAAGCCATAGCACCTGGAATGTATATGCTACTTTTGTTAGAGAGACCAAGGAAGATTTCTAGAGGAGTGAAATTTTAGCAGAAATCTATATGAAGTGAGAGACCAAGATTTTTAGATAGCTGAGGAAAGGCCATTTTTGGCAGAAAACATATCATACAAAAGGGCCCTAGGCAGAAACATTTTTATCAGAAGACCCATATGGCTGGAGTAGAATAAGTTATAGGGAAAATAGTGGGAATCAGGTTGGAAAAATATGCAAGAAACAGACTATATATGTTGAAGGTAGAGGCAACAAGACTTGTGAATGGATTGAAATGAATGTGAAGTGTCATGAAAAGTAGGCATCAAGAAGAACCCCGAGGTTTTTGGCCTGAGCAATTAGGTAAATAATGTTGCATATTACATGGAAAGAAGATTTGGTTGAGGTGGTGAGACAGGATATTAAAAGAAGTTGTGTGATGGACATGTTCAGTTTCAGTTGTCTATGAGACCTTAGAGAAGAGAGAAAAGAATATATACACTAGTCTGAAATTCATGAAAGAGTAAAAAGTGATAATTAAGTAAATTCATGGAACTGGATAAGATCAACTGGTGTGTGAATGCAGACAGAGAAAAGATGAGGACTAAGCCTGGGAGAACTCCAAAATTTAGAGGTCAGGAAGAAGAGAAGGAGCCAATTAAGAAGAGATTGAAGAAGCAGAATAAAACCTTGAGAATACACAGTGTCAGTGATGCAGATGAAGAAGACATTTCACAAAAAGAGGTGGTGAACAATTATGTCAAATGCCACTTGGAGTTCAAGTAAAATTTTTTAAAAATCAAAATTGACCTTTGGATTTGGAAAGATAAAATAGTTGGTGTGAGAAACAAAGCTATTTCAGCAGAGTGCTGCAGGAAAATGACTGTAATAGCTAAAGAAATATTGAGGATTCTGCTATAAGGAGAAGCAGACATGCGGGACTGTAATTAGTCTCTTTATCAAATACTAGATAGTACAGAATGTTTAAATGTTAATAGTAATGAACTTACACAAGGTAAATAAATCAATTATTTGAAAGTAACATGAGATGAAATGAGGTCAAATGCACAAAAAGAGAGACTGGCCTCGGACAGAAGCATGGATATCCCAGCCATTATAACAGGATGAAAGGAAGAACACAGATCTAGGTGCAGATGGATCAGCACATCTGATGGGCGGAAGACACAGTGGCTCTGTTCTGATTGTTTGTATTTCCAGAGAGAAAATAATTGAATGTGAGAAAGGGTGTTCGTGAAAGTTTGATGAGAGAGAAGATATGTAAAAAAAATTGGGAGCGTGGGCGTTTATGGTCATTAATTTTTACTGAGACCAGTCATCATAGTTTCTTTTTCTAGCCAAACTCAGCTGTTGCTATGAAAAAAAAAAAAAAAAAAAAAAAAAAACAGAAAAGGAAAATTGGGTTGAAACGGTATCAGAATTTTCTAAACTAGATAGAAGGATGTGTGCAAGAAATTTGAAGTGCTAAACAACTGAACAATTCTGATGCTACACTGTGGAATCTAAATTTAATAAAGAGAAAAAATGAGCAAATAAAGAAGACAAGCATACTAAAATACGATGGTTTAATGGATTAGTGACTCCAAAGAGCCGAAAGGATTATTGGATTGAATATGTTAGCTAGAAAGACAAGTGATGGAGGTCAGAAAACAGTGGATAAAGACAAGATTTTGGAATTGTGCAGTCAAAGAAAGAATAGATATTTGTTTTAGAAATTTAGAAAATATAAACAAAATCAACTTATGGAAAGCATATATATTATATGCATACACATTTGTGTACATGGGTGTGTTTCTGAAGTTAGTATTTTTCATTGATCTATATTCATCACTGTACCAATGATATATGATGTAATTATTGTAGCTATTTTGTCTAATAGTGCAAGTTCTACTGTTTATTTCTCCTTTATAAATCATCTTATTCTTTTTTATCTTATTTTCTTTTTATTTATTTATTTATTTTTATTATTATACTTTAAGTTTTATGGTACATGTGCACAATGTGCAGGTTAGTTACATATGTATACATGTGACATGCTGGTGCGCTGCACCGACTAACTCGTCATCTAGCATTAGGTATATCTCACAATGCTATCCCTCCCCTCTCCCCCCAACCCACAACAGTCCCCAGAGTGTGATGTTCCCCTTCCTGTATCCATGTGTTCTCATTGTTCAATTCCCATCTATGAGTGAGAATATGCGGTGTTTAGTTTTTTGTTCTTGCGATAGTTTACTGAGAATGATGATTTCCAATTTCATCTATGTCCCTACAAAGGACATGAACTCATCATTTTTTATGGCTGCATAGTATTCCACGGTGTATATGTGCCACATTTTCTTAATCCAGTCTATCATTGTTGGACATTTGGGTTGGTTCCAAGTCTTTGCTATTGTGAATAGTGCCGCAATAAACATACGTGTGCATGTGTCTTTATAGCAGCATGATTTATAGTCCTTTGGGTATATACCCAGTAATGGGATGGCTGGGTCAAATGGTATTTCTAGTTCTAGATCCCTGAGGAATTGCCACACTGACTTCCACAGTGGTTGAACTAGTTTACAGTCCCACCAACAGTGTAAAAGTGTTCCTATTTTTCCACATCCTCTCCAGCACCTGTTGTTTCCTGACTTTTTAATGATTGCCATTCTAACTGGTATGAGATGATATCTCATTGTGGTTTTGATTTGCATTTCTCTGATGGCCAGTGATGGTGAGCATTTTTTCATGTGTTTTTTGCCTGCATAAATGTCTTCTTTTGAGAAGTGTCTGTTCATGTCTTTCGCCCACTTTTTGATGGGGTTGTTTTTTTCTTGTAAATTTGTTTGAGTTCAGTGTAGATTCTGGATATTAGCCCTTTGTCAGATGAGTAGGTTGCGAAAATTTTCTCCCATTTTGTGGGTTGCCTGTTCACTCTGATGGTAGTTTCTTTTGCTGTGCAGAAGCTCTTTAGTTTAATTAGATCCCATTTGTCAATTTTGGCTTTTGTTGCCATTGCTTTTGGTATTTTAGACATGAAGTCCTTGCCCATGCCCATGTCCTGAATGGTAATGCCTAGGTTTTCTTCTAGGGTTTTTATGGTTTTAGGTCTAACGTTTAAGTCTTTAATCCATCTTGAATTAATTTTTGTATAAGGTGTAAGGAAGGGATCGAGTTTCAGCTTTCTACATATGGCTAGCCAGTTTTCCCAGCACCATTTACTAAATAGGGAATCCTTTCCCCATTGCTTGTTTTTCTCAGGTTTCTCAAAGATCAGATAGTTGTAGATATGCAGTGTTATTTCTGAGGGCTCTGTTCTGTTCCATTGATCTATATCTCTGTTTTGGTACCAGTACCATGCTGTTTTGGTTACTGTAGCCTTGTAGTATAGTTTGAAGTCAGGTAGCGTGATGCCTCCAGCTTTGTTCTTTTGGCTTAGGATTGACTTGGTGATGAGGGCTCTTTTTTGGTTCCATATGAAGTTTAAAGTAGTTTTTTCCAATTCTGTGAAGAAAGTCATTGGTAGCTTGATGGGGATGGCATTGAATCTGTAAATTACCTTGGGCAGTATGGCCATTTTCACGATATTGATTCTTCCTACCCATGAGCATGGAATGTTCTTCCATTTGTTTGTATCCTCTTTTATTTCACTGAACAGTGTTTTGTAGTTCTTCTTGAAGATGTCCTTCACATCCCTTGTAAGGTGGATTCCTAGGTATTTTATTCTCTTTGAAGCAATTGTGAATGGGAGTTCACTCATGATTTGGCTCTCTGTTTCTCTGTTATTGGTATATAAGAATGCTTGTGATTTTTGTACATTGATTTTGTATCCTGAGACTTTGGTGAAGTTGCTTATCAGCTTAAGGAGATTTTGGGCTGAGACAATGGGGTTTTCTAGATTTTACAATCATGTCATCTGCAAACAGGGACAATTTGACTTCCTCTTTTCCTAATTGAATACCCTTTATTTCCTTCTCCTGCCTGATTGCCCTGGCCAGAACTTCCAACACTATGTTGAATAGGAGTGGTGAGAGAGGGCATCCCTGTCTTGTGCCAGTTTTCAAAGGGAATGCTTCCAGTTTTTGCCCATTCAGTATGATATTGGCTGTTGGTTTGTCATAGATAGCTGTTATTATTTTGAGATACATCCCATCAATACCTAATTAATTGAGAGTTTTTAGCATGAAGCGTTGTTGAATTTTGTCAAAGGCCTTTTCTGCATCTATTGAGATAATTATGTGGTTTTTGTCTTTGGTTCTGTTTATATGCTGGATTACATTTATTGATTTGCGTATATTGAACCAGCCTTGCACCCCAGGGATGAAGCCCACTTGATCATGGTGGATAAGCTTTTTGATGTGCTGCTGGATTTGGTTTGGCAGTATTTTATTGAGGATTTTTGCATCAATGTTCATCAAGGATATTGGTCTAAAATTCTCTTTTTTTTGTTGTGTCTCTGCCCAGCTTTGGTATCAGGATGATGCTGGCCTCATAAAATGAGTTAGGGAGGATTCCCTCTTTTTCTATTGATTGGAATAGTTTCAGAAGGAATGGTACCTGTTCCTCCTTGTACCTCTGGTAGAATTCGGCTGTGAATCCATCTGGTCCTGGACTCTTTTTGGTTGGTAAGCTATTGATTATTGCCACAATTTCAGCTCCTGTTATTGGTCTATTCAGAGATTCAACTTCTTCCTACTTTAGTCTTGGGAGAGTGTATGTGTCGAGGAATTTATCCATTTCTTCTAGATTGTCTAGTTCATTTGCATAGAGGTGTTTGTAGTATTCTCTGATGGTAGTTTGTATTTCTGTGGGATCGGTGGTGATATCCCCTTTATCATTTTTTATTGTGTCTATTTGATTCTTCTCTCTTTTTTTCTTTATTAGTCTTGCTAGCGGTCTATCAATTTTGTTGATCCTTTCAAAAAACCAGCTCCTGGATTCATTAATTTTTTGAAGGGTTTTTTTGTATCTCTATTTCCTTCAGTTCTGCTCTGATTTTAGTTATTTCTTGCCTTCTGTTAGCTTTTGAATGTGTTTGCTCTTGCTTTTCTAGTTCTTTTAATTGTGATGTTGGGGTGTCAATTTTGGATCTTTCCTGCTTTCTCCTGTGGGCATGTAGTGCTATAAATTTCCCTCTACACACTGCTTTGAATGCGTCCCAGGGATTCTGGTATGTTGTGTCTTTGTTCTCGTTGGTTTCAAAGAACATCTTTATTTCTGCCTTCATTTCATTATGTACCCAGTAGTCATTCAGGAGCAGGTTGTTCAGTTTCCATATAGTTGAGCGGTTTTGAGTGAGTTTCTTAATCCTGAGTTCTAGTTTGATTGCACTCTGGTCTGAGAGATAGTTTGTTATAATTTCTGTTCTTTTACATTTGCTGAGGAGAGCTTTACTTCCAACTATGTGGTCAATTTTGGAATAGGTGTGGTGTGGTGCTGAAAAAAAATGTATATTCTGTTGATTTGGGGTGGAGAGTTCTGTAGATGTCTATTAGGTCCGCTTGGTGCAGAGCTGAGTTCAATTCCTGGGTATCCTTGTTGACTTTCTGTCTTGTTGATCTGTCTAATGTTGACAGTGGGGTGTCAAAGTCTTCAATTATTAATGTGTGGGAGTCTAAGTCTCTTTGTAGGTCACTCAGGAGTTGCTTTGTGAATCTGGGTGCTCCTGTATTGGGTGCATATATATTTAGGATAGTTAGCTCTTCTTGTTGAATTGATCCCTTTCCCATTATGTAATGGTCTTCTTTGTCTCTTTTGATCTTTGTTGGTTTAAAGTCTGTTTTATCAGAGACTAGGATTGCAACCCCTGCCTTTTTTTGTTTTCCATTTGCTTGGTAGATCTTCCTCCATCCTTTTATTTTGAGCCTATGTGTGTCTCTGCATGTGAGATGGGTTTCCTGAAAACAACACACTGATGGGTCTTGACTCTTTATCCAATTTGCCAGTCTGTGTCTTTTAATTGGAGCATTTAGTCCATTTACATTTAAAGTTAATATTGTTATGTGTGAATTTGAACCTGTCGTTATGATGTTAGCTGGTTATTTTGCTCGTTAGTTGATTCAGTTTCTTCCTAGTCTCGATGGTCTTTACATTTTGGCATGATTTTGCAGCAGCTGGTACTGGTTGTTCCTTTCCATGTTTAGCACTTCCTTCAGGAACTCTTTTAGGGCAGGCCTGGTGGTGACAAATCTCTCAGCATTTGCTTGTCTATAAAATATTTTATTTCTCCTTCACTTATGAAGCTTAGTTTGGCTGGATATGAAATTCTCGGTTGAAAATTCTTTTCTTTAAGAATGTTGAATATTGGCCCCCACTCTCTTCTGGCTTGTAGAGTTTCTGCTGAGAAATCCGCTTGTTAGTCTGATCCACTTCCCTTTGTGGGTAACCCGACCTTTCTCTCTGGCTGCCCTTAACATTTTTTCCTTCATTTCAACGTTGGTGAATCTGACAATTATGTGTCTTGGAGTTGCTCTTCTCGAGGAGTATCTTTGTGACATTCTCTTTATTTCCTGAATCTGAATGTTGGCCTGTCTTGCTAGATTGGGGAAGTTCTCCTGGATAATATCCTGCAGAGTGTTTTCCAACTTGGTTCCATTCTCCCCATCACTTTCAGGTACACCAATCAAACGTAGATTTGGTCTTTTCACATTGTCCCATATTTCTTGGAGGCTTTGTTCGTTTCTTTTTATTCTTTTTTCTCTAAACTTCCCTTCTCGCTTCATTTCATTCATTTCATCTTCCATCGCTGATACCCTTTCTTCCAGTTGATCGCATCGGCTCCTGAGGCTTCTGCATTCTTCCCGTAGTTCTCGAGCCTTGGCTTTCAGCTCCACCAGCTCCTTTAAGCACTTCTCTGTATTGGTTATTCTAGTTATACATTCGTCTAAATTTTTTTCAAAGTTTTTAACTTCTTTGCCTTTGGTTTGAATTTCCTCCTGTAGCTCGTAGTTTGATTGTCTGAGGCCTTCTTCTCTCAACTCGTCAAAGTCATTCTCTGTCCAGCTTTGTTCCATTGCTGGTGAGGAACTGCGATCCTTTGGAGGAGGAGAAGTGCTCTGCTTTGTAGAGTTGCCATTTTTTCTGCTCTGTTTTTTCCCCATCTTTGTGGTTTTATCTACTTTTGGTCTTTGATGATGGTGATGTACAGATGGGTTTTTGGTGTGGATGTGCTTTCTGTTTGTTAGTTTTCCTTCTAACAGACAGAACCTTCAGCTGCAGGTCTGTTGGAGTTTGCTAGAGGTCCACTCCAGACACTGTTTGCCTGGGTATCAGCAGCGGTGTCTGCAGAACAGTGGTTTTTCATGAACCGCGAATGTTGCTCTCTGATCGTTCCTCTGGAAGTTTTGTCTCAGAGGAGTACCTGGCCGTGTGAGGTGTCAGTCTGCCCCTACTGGGGGGTGCCTCCCAGTTAGGCTGCTCAGGGGTCAGGGGTCAGGGACCCACTTGAGGAGGCAGTCTGCCCATTCTCAGATCTTCAGCTGCGTGCTGGGAGAACCACTGCTCTCTTCAAATCTGTCAGACAGGGACATTTAAGTCTGCAGAGGTTACTGCTATCTTTTTGTTTGTCTGTGCCCTGCCCCCAGAGGTGGAGCCTACAGAGGCAGGCAGGCCTCCTTGAGCTGTGGTGGGCTCCAACCAGTTGGAGCTTTCAGCTGCTTTGTTTACCTAAGCAAGCCTGGACAATGGCGGGCGCCCCTCCCCCAGCCTCGCTGCCACCTTGCAGTTTGATCTCAGACTGCTATGCTAGCAATCAGCGAGACTCCGTGGGTGTAGGACCCTCCGAGCCAGGTGCAGGATATAATCTCCTGGTGCGCCGTTTTTTAAGCCCGTCAGAAAAGTGCAGTATTCGGGTGGGAGTGACCCGATTTTCCAGGTGCTGTCTGTCACCCCTTTCTTTGACTAGGAACGGGAACTCCCTGACCCCTTGCGCTTCCCAAGTGAGGCAATGCCTCACCCTGCTTTGGCTCGTGCACGGTGCACTGAACCCACTGACCTGTGCCCACTGTCTGGCACTCCCTAGTGAGATGAACCCGGTACCTCAGATGGAAATGCAGAAATCACCCGTCTTCTGCGTCACTCATGCTGGGAGCTGTAGACTGGAGCTGTTCCTATTCAGCCATCTTGGCTGCTCTCCAATCATCTTATTCTTAACCACTTGTTCTTCAAGCTAAAATTTTAAGTAATGAAAGATACCCACTTGTGTTTTGCTTAGAATTTCAGCACAGTTATTTCATAACTTTTGTTCAACGATGTAGTCTTTTCATTTTGTTTTTATGTTATTCTAGAAATTTATTTTACACAAAATATTTTGCAAAATGTTATTATTCTAATAAAAAATAATGCAAGTAAAGATTGCCTGCACAATAGCTAATGGGTTATTACTAGCATAAAACCCATCTTTTCTGTATAAATATTTTGTATTGGATCAACTTATTGAACTGTCTTAGAAGTTTTTTAATTCACTCTTTTGGATTTTCTAAGTAAATTACCAGTTCATATATAAATATAATAATTTTATTTTCTTCTTCCAAGTACTTAAAGCTCAATTTTTAAGAATTTTCAATCCCTGGACATCCTAGAACATTTTGGATACTAATATTGAGACAAGATATTCTTAAATTATTCTTAATTTCACCGGCAATTCAAAATAAAGCCATTTAGTCAGGTGCAGTGGTTCATGCCTGTAATCCCAGCACTTTGGAAGGCCACGGTGGGTGGATCATTTGAGGTCAGGAGTTCGAGACCAGCCTAGTCAACATGGTGAAACCCCATCTCTACTAAAAATACAAAAATTAGCTTGGAGCAGTGGCGTGTGCTTGTGGTCCCAGCTACTCGGTAGGCTGAGGCAGGAGAATCACTTGAAACTGGGAAGCAGAGGTTGCAGTAAGCCAAAATCGTGCCACTGCACTCCAGTCTGGGCAGCAGAGCCAGACTCCATCTCGAAAAATATAGTAAATAAATAAATAAATAAATAAAGCCATTTAAAATATAGATACGTCTTATAAACTAGGAGAGAAAAAAACAATGATTCCCCCTGAGAAATCAATCCCCAACCATTGCAAAATGAACAAGCCAGCTATATGCAAAATTCTTAGTTTCTTATGGTAAATAACTACAGATTGCAAAGTGGCTGCAATTATCCACTTTGTCCTTTGTCCATGACCTTTTGCAATGACATTTGGTTCCTCCCATCAAGAGAAGAAGTCACTCTGCCCTGCCTCTTGAGTCTGGACTGGCCTGCAACCTGCTTTGGCCAACAGGATGTGGAAAATAAAAGTGTGCTTGTTCTGAGCCCAAGCCTCCAACAGGAAAGACAAAGAACTGTGCTAAACATAACCCTGTGAATTGTATGAATAGTGAAAATTATATATTTTATATATATATGTAAAACTGCGATTGACTGAGATAATATAGAATTTAAAAACAGTTATCAGCACAAAACATTCAGAAAATAACTTGTTGCACAGAGATTTATAATGATGGGCATTTCTAAATGTTAGAAAACAATAGTTGATTCGCAGAGAACTTAGGCTACATTTGCAAAATCACTTATGTTCTGAAACAAAAAGAAGGGTCCCTAAAATTAATGATTCATTAGCGCATTCAAGAGATTTAAAATTCTAGCACATAACGATTCCTTCATTTGTCTCTATCAGAGAGCACACTGACAGTCTGCTCTCTGGGTAACACAAGAACTTAGCTTTGTTTGACAGCTCTCATTCCCTGGAAAAGGATGTTTCAGTTTCAGTACAGCAACATACTGCTTAGCATGCTTTTTTTTTTTTTTTTAAGTGACTTTGGCTTCACTGTCAATAAAGTCCCATTTCGATGTATCAGTTTTATGTCCCCTCATTAGTATTTGGCAAGAAAAATCAGGCAACACATGTAGTCAGCTTATAACAAGTTCATGAATTTGTATTTTAATCCACTTCTGGGAAAAGACAAGCAGCCAAAGATCCAAATGATATATTAATGGTCTAAATTTTACTCTAATTCATCTTTTTCCAATATATGAGAGGTAATGAGGACCTAACTAAGTATTGCATAAGTCTTTTCAACTAACATTGGTTCACTTTTGAGGTCACAGGCTCCCTCAGTAAAATCTCAGATTCTACATGCCCCTTGGTGTCTTATTCCCCACTTCAATATCAGAAGCAATGTGTCTTGATATTTCTTCATTGCTTGTTCATGTGGGGATTTTTTACATGGTTAACCAAAAACTAGTATTTTCTGCTTAGGTTGCCAATAAATAGATCCGTATTCATGGCTTCAAATGAATAGCATGTGATTTTTTTAATGCTTTTGTTGGTTGTACCTTGACTTGTTCTAGATAGGATTAAAGGGTTTTATCTAAGGAAAATATGAATTTTGGAAGTTTTTCCTTTATAAACATAGCATCATCATTTTTAAAAGCCTTTTAATATATAAAGTATCGTTTTCATGTGTCTTTTGGGAAATTAACTGTGATTAAAAATGTTATTAGAATGAAAAAGATCATATATTGTATGATTCCACTTTTATGAAAAATCCAGAAAAGAGACTCTATAGAGATAGAAAGTAGATTAGTGATTGCCTGGGGCTGGGGGTGGAGATAGGGATGGCTACAAATGTCATAAGGGATCTCTTGGGAGTGATGAGAATATTCTAAATTGGAGTTGTATTGTGCAACTCCATAAATTTACCAAAAATCATTGAAATCACTTAAACTTCATTGTGAATTTTTATGTTAAGTAAACTATACTTAAATAAAGCTTTTATTTAAAAATGTTTTTAGTTAAACCTAAGCAATTATTTATAACATTTTAAAATTATTCTTAAGTCTATAGGGCTCTGAATAACAAAGCTTTCAGTTACTGAAATACATCACACTCAGGCTGAAATAAACCTAATTCTTCAAGGGGCTCTTTTGACCTATTTGCCCCATTCTGGATGCCACAATAGTGGTTTTATTGTCAATTGGGTGTGTCTTGTATATATGTGTGTGTATGTGTATATATATAGGTATATATATATATATATACCTATATAAGTATATATATACCTATGTGTATACATATATACACATATATATACATATATACCTATATATACGTATATATACATATACGTATATATAGGTATATATATATAATAACTAAAACGTTTGTTTCAATTTTAGCTTCAAATTATATAAAAAGTTTTAACTGTGAATAACTAAACTTAAGAAAGAAACTGAACCATGTATGGCAACCCTAACATAACTATATACACCAGGCAATGGAATTCTGATATGATTATTCCATTTCCATATCCCCTAAGGAATTTATAAAACTCTTAACATGCTACAAATACAATAGCAACATTAATGACAAAAGTTTTCAAAAGCAATAGATATTATTTATTGAGTGCTTACCATGTATCAGGCATTACCAAGGGCTTAGCAAAATAGTGTTATTTAATTCACACACCAATTTAGGTATTATTATGCCCATTTTATTATAGAGGAAACTAAATTTTAAAATGTATTACTAACTTACCAGTGTCACACAGTAAGTAGGTGACAGAGCCAGCATTTGAATCCAAGTCTATCCATCATGCAGTAGATAAGAACCTGAATATCATGGGAAGCCAAGCTGGGTGTGAGTTTGGATGCTCCCCTCTCTAGCTACATATCCTTGGGAGTTACCAAAACTCTCAATGCTTTCATCTCCCACATTTATAAAATGAGGGTAATAATGCTATCTAGCCATAATAAAATGTTTGAAACAATTAAATGAGATAATGAATGTGAAGCTTTTAAAACTTCACTCAGAATATAGTGGCTTCTTAATAAACGATAACAAGTATTCATAGAAGAAATAATTACTATTAACTCTGGAGCAAAATATGCATTTTGAAATGAATACACAATTAACTGAGACTGTTAGTTTAACTTCATTCAAATTCTTAGGCAATCCACAAAATATAAATAAGGCAGTGAAATTTCAACCAACCCTCAAGTTCTTGACAACTATTAATATCTGCCACCACATCTGTCTGATTATCAGTGTTATCATTTCTTCTGCCTCTATAACCCTCAACTGTGCCATTTAAAAGATGTATTTCTAAAATTAAATGTTTAGTTGTAATTTCCTGACAATTTGTCAGCAATTACTACATACTAATAATTCCAATCGGATTTTAAAAATAATTTAATAAAGCATTGTGTTCATTAGAAAAATATTTTATTTTAGCAAACTTTTTAAAAATTTCACTAAAAAGTCTTCTTAAAAATCTTCCCAAGTCTTTGTAGATTCTGTGGCACATATACACCATGGAATACTATGCAGCCATAAAAAATGATGAGTTCGTGTCCTTTGTAGGGCCATGGATGAAGTTGGAAACCATCATTCTCAGCAAACTATGGCAAGGACAAAAAACCAAACACCACATGTTCTCACTCACAGGTGGGAATTGAACAATGAAAACACTTGGACACAGGGTGGGGAACATCACACACCAGGGTCTGTTGTGGGGTGGGGGGAGGGGGGAGGTATAGCATTAGGAGATATACCTAAGGTAAATGACGAGTTAATGGGTTCAGCACACCAACATGGTACATGTATACATATGTAACTAACCTGCACCTTGTGCACCGTAGAACTTAAAGTATTATATATATATATATATATATATATATATATATATATCTTCCCAAATCTTCTTATACTTTTACACATATGTAACCATACTTGGAAAGACATAATGAGGGAATTTACATTTGTTCTATGCAGGTTTGTGTGAGAACAGCCACAGGTGATTATCGTTTTTGCATTTAGAAGCTTAGGTTTAAAAAATTTAATTGGGCATTTTCTGGTTGAAAATTTAAAAAAATCATAGATACAATGATTAATAACCAGAATTCTAATTGAGAAAATAAACAACAGTATTTGCATGATGTTTACAAATTGGGTGCTCAGGGCAGATGACCCTGACAGCACATGAATGTAAGCTAAGCAGTTCCAGGCAGGCAGGGAGTCTCTGTTGCTCTACATACTTAAAGGAGAATCATGAAGAAAGAGGCTGCTCAATGGCCAAACTAGTTAAATGCTCAGGTTTAAGCAGGATTCTGTTGTTTTGTTTGTTTTTGTTTTGCTTTGTTTTTGGTAGAAACTTGCTGGATTTTTCAGGAAGGTGCTTAAGAGCACAGAACTAATGAATCTAAGTGAGACATTGAGAGTAGTTTGAGTGACTTGCCCAGGGCTGTATACGATGATTCTAGAGGGACCCGCACTTATAGTCCGCTTGACCTCACTTAAAGTCCTCCAGCATCAGAAAACCAAGAATTCACAAAAATCACAGAGCAGACATTTAACTCTCACAGAGCTGGAGAAGTGATATTTGAAATAAATTTAATCAGGTTTCAGGGAAAAGGGGATTTAACTGACCCAAGAAGGCTATATATAGTAACATAAAATAGTGAAATTATGGCCAAATGTATATAATTTTAGATTATCAGTCATTTTACTTACAAGAACAATGAAGTGTAAAGAAATTTTGGTATTAGCTTATGATAAACACCAAGACTTCACGTTTGTTTTCAAGTTCTTTAAATCGACATCAATTTTATAATTTTTATGTATTCATTTTCTGCTTAATCTAGAAATAATGGCAGTGAATTCATCAAGGTGATCATGAATTGTCTATATGTTCTTCTAGTTCTATCAATTTGTGCTTTAAATATCTTGAAACTTTGTTTTTAAAGGTTCACTCAAGTTTTGAATTGTATGTTTTTCTATGACATTAACCTTGTATCATTATGTAGTGAAGCTCCATCCCTAGTAATGGTTTTTATGTGAAAATCCATTTTGTCTAATATTAGTATACTGATAACTGCTCTTTTTGGATAAAAACTCTCCCGTATGTATGTTTTTTGATCACTTAACTTTCAACCTTTAAGTGTTATTGTGTTTCATGATATATGATACATATATATATTCTAATAAGCTTGTTTTTAACTTAAACATTTAGTTATTTATACTTATTACAAATACTTGATTATTTTAACTTATTATAATCTGTGTGAGTTTGCTAAGGCTGACACTACAAAATACCCCAGACAACGCCTTAAGCAACACAATTTTACTTTCTCACAGTTCTGGAAGTTGGAAGTCCAAGATAATTGAAGGGGTTGGCAGATTTGGTTTCTTAGGAGGGCTGTTTTCCCTTTCCTTGCAGATGGCCATCTTCTTGCCGTGTCCTCACATAGTCTTGACTCTGTGCACCTGCACCCTGGCATCTCTCTGTGTGTCCACATTTACACAATCAGCTTGGATTAGAGCCCACCCTAAAAAGCTCATTGTAATGTATTCACATTTCAAAAGGCTCTGTCTTCAAATACAGTCACCTCTGTGGTACTGGAGTTCAAGGTGTCAACATATGAATTTGGGGAGGACACAATTGAACCCATGGCACTATCTTTACATTTTGTGTATTTTATTTTTCCTAACTCTTCTATAATTTTCCTTTTCATTATTGCCTTCTATTTAATTGGTTGATTAACTTTATATATCCCACTATAATTTAAAGGTCATATATACTATTTCTTATTTATTAATAATCATCCTAGATTTATACACACATATGTATCAAATTCTAAAATTGATCAATACATCTGCCCTCATTCTGGAAAATTCCAGAACATCACAACACTTTAATCACTCCCTCCAAACATACAAGTTTATTTCAAACATTTTAAACATATTATTCTTTTTATTTAAGAAGCCATTATTGTTGTTTTATACAGTCAATATTTGTTTCTATGTACCTCTATATTTGCAACTTTCTTTGATTATTATTTTTTCTTTATCTTTGACTTGACAGCTAGAATCACTTCCTTTTGCCTGAAATATATCCTGCAGAATTTCTTTGAGCAATGATCTGATGTTAGTCAAATCCCTCATTATTGTTTTGGTCTGAAGATGTTTATATTTTGCTCACTGGAAAGAATTTTCCCTGGCGTACTGTTCCTGGATAATTCTTTTATTTTCTGGATTCACTGAAGATAGTACTTCATGCATTTTTGATTTCTCAGCTTTCTGTTGAGGCAATAAGTTCTATGCGCCTCTATCTCTGAAAGGGTAGAATTTGTTTCCTGCATCCTCACCCCACAAGGTCATGGAAACCTTGCTTGAATTCCCTGAGGTTGGGCAAATGCTTTCAGAACAAAGATTATTTTAAGGCCCTGCTCTCCTCTCTGGGTTCCTGCTTTCACTTAGTTTTTGGACTCTGAATATTTCTTTTCCTTGCCAGGGCATCAATGCATTTTACAAGTTATTGTTTTAGATTTTATTCAGAATTTTTATTTGTTTTTAGTAGGAAGGTCAGTCACAATATCTAGTCTGCCATTCTGCTGGAGAAATAAGTTTGGTTCATCTCTCATTTAAAGACAGTGGGGAGGATATTTGGGATATTTTTCTTTTTCTGTAATATAATTCCATGGGTGGGGGCTTCTCTCTCTGTGTGTGTGTGTGTGTGTGTGTGTGTGTGTGTGTGTGTGTGTCCCAATATGACATAACTGACATTGGGAGCAAGCTTGATGGTGAAAAGATGTCCAGCACCTTTAGGAATGAATATGAAATTATGAAATATTGAGAATTATAGCTCATGTTCTTGTTTAAGGAGGCGCAGCCTTGCTAGACATTGGTCTGTAGTGTGAGTCGCAAGAAGTCTCTGAGTTACCATTTGTTTATAATTTGTGCTGCATAAATTAAGAAATAAGTGGCTTAAAAGCATGGAGAAATTGATACTAATTTACATGGAGTTATGTGGGCAAAATGAAAAGGGCTGAGGATTGAAGTCTGTATAAGAATGCACCCAGGAATAACAAAGAATGCTAGTTTCTCCTGCCATATCTGTAGGATATATAACTAATCCATCACAACACTTTCTCCCCTTAACCAAGAACTTGCTTGAGAATCCTTTTCAGCACAGTATTCTCAGCATTCAGTGTTAAACAATCAGAGAAGGCAATCAAGATAAAGCTATCAGCATAATAACAACTAATTGTTAATTGTATCTCTGTTGTTCTTTTCGTTTTTCAACTGGAATATTGCAATATTGTTAGTACTTTTCTTTTTTCTTTGGAGACGGAGTCTTGGTCTGTCACCCAGGCTGGAGTGCAGTGGCACGTTCTTGGCTCACTGCAACCTCTGCTTCCTGGGTTCGAGCGATTCCCCTGCCTCAGCCTCCCAAGTAGCTGGGATTATAGGCGCCCTCCACCACGCCCGGCTAATTTTTTGTATTTTAGTAGAGATGGGGTTTCACCATGTTGGCCAGGATAGTCTCGATCTCCTTACCTCGTGATCTGCCCGCTTCGGCCTCCCAAAGTGCTGGGATTACAGGCGTGAGCCACGTGCTGGGCGAGTAACATGTGTTTTTAGGTGCAGTGGGGAAAAAGAAGCTGTTCAATGTTATAACCACTCTTTCAGAAGCCCTGCTTCCTATGGTCACTCATATTAGTGTTTTACATCATTCTATCCTATGGCATTCCATAATAAATCAGCTCTTTTATATTTTTGTCTTATTCTCTATTCTGTGCTACCAGTCCGTGATCTTTATTCGTGACAGAAATTCTCATGGGCAAGAGATATCAGGATACATCGACTATGCCCACAGGCTAAAGACGGAAGATTTTGAAGTCTACTTTACTGGAAAAAAAAGACTTCTTCCAAGGCCTACAGATATAAGGTAAATTACATACAATTTTTGCACCCTTAGAGGCAGGGACAAAGACTTTTTATTTTATGGTCTACATTGTGCCTAAAATGCTAATGTATATATAACAGGAATGTGATATAACTGGTTATTAATATGAAAATAACTAAATCTTAAAATAAGGAATAAGCATAGATGCATTGTTTTTCCTTTAACAGCCTGAGAAAAAGGATTCTTCAGAGACAAGATAAGTAAATTCCCAGTGACATTCCTTTTTAATGATAAGTAGTGCCTAAATTTTGTTAACCTCATGAGGCTTTTGCAGCACTTGGGACTTGGTCTGTCCAGAAGCCTCAAGAACTGCTCATCTAACATGTTTTCCTCCACTTTTCTTTGGTCACCAGCCAAAGTGCTGGCCCCTGATCAGCTCACCCTCATTTCTCTCATCTCTGTCCTATTCTGGGACACCCATTCCTTAACACCCATCATTCTTTTTACTACCAATGCTTGCCTTTTATTCTAGAACCCTTATCTATCACCTAGCATCTACCCTACACTGCCAATCTATTCACAGATGGGTTCTTCTACTCCCTTCTAAATAGCATGCAAGCTAAAACTTTTTATTCCCTCTTACTTAACTATAGAACCCCAAAATTAAGTAGCAGCATTATGCTTTAACTCTCCACTGCTGTATTCAGATCATTATTTGATGATTATAACAATACCTACCTCCTCTGAGATGCCTGTTATCCTCTATCCACCCTTACTGATATTATCTGAAGACTTCCTTATCCATCACCTTTTTTTGATTTGTTTGTTTTTGAGATGGAGTCTCGCTCTGTCGCCCAGGCTGGAGTGCAATGGTGCAATCTTGGATCACTGCTACTTCCACCTCACGGGTTCAAGCAATTCTCTTGTCTCAGCCTCCCATGCAGCTGGGACTACAGGCACATACCACCACGTCTGGATACTTTTTGTATTTTTAGTAGAGACAGGGTTCCACCATATTGGTCAAGCTGGTCTCAAACTCCTGACCTCAGGTGATCCACCGGCCTCAGCCTCCCAAAGTGCTGGGATTACAGGCGTCAGCCACCGAGCCTGACTCCCATCTCCACTGTAATGGACTTAGCTCTTTCCTGTCCTACCTAGGATAACATTTCATTTAACTTCTCTCTTGCAGTAATGCCCATTGCCCATGTCTTTTTGATTTTTGGTTGTATCTGACCTACTAACATTCCAAAGTCAATCGATCCACACATTTTTTTCACTGCACTTGTAGCTACCCCACTGGGTACTGCTGAAGGAAATTTTAGGAAATTTCACAAAACTGTGGATTGCTGTGCTAATAACTTATGGTTTCCAAACTCAATTGAGTCCTTTATGATTCTTAAAACTTATGTTCAAAATTAAATTCATTTTAATTCCTGAAGCCTGCTATTGCTTCTGTGTCACCTGTCTTGGCAAATGGCATCACCCTTGAAACCAAAGGCAAAATCCAGATGTTATCCTAGACCTCTTGTTTTTCATCACCACCTTTATAACTAATAATTTATTAAAAACACTGAATTCTATTATCTTAGCAGCTTTGTTTTGTTAAAGCAAATTTAAGATATCTCATTTCACCTGCAAACACTTCAGCATGGATCTTTATCTGATACCATTTTTAAAGAAAACATCTTGGCATTATCATACCTAACAAAATACTTTCCTTAATGTCATCTAATACCTAGTTCACATTTCATTTTCACCCTTAATAACATTTAATTGACTGTCTAATTTATTTTTTATAGTTTGTTTGACCAGTCAAAATTCAAGTGATTTTGTGTTTTGTCTTACTATATCTTGACCTCTTGCATGCTTTTTTTTTTTTTTACAACAGTCCCCCTCATTCTTTTTATCTTCTACGCTATTGATTTGTTGGAGAAACCAGGTCCTGATAAACATTGTCCTCAAATGTCTCACATTCTGGATTTTACTGATCCAGTAAAATCGTGCTGTTTATTCTACTATCTATGTTCCTCTATTCCCTATAAACTGATTTGATTAAATGCAGTATAATTTTTTTCTAAGTAAGAAATTTTAATATGTGATGCTCTGTACTGACTATCGCCCCAGTTTTAGATCTCCTGAGCTCGATCAGTAGGTTCAAGTGGTGTCAGTCTAATTACTTCATTACAAGATTTTCCATAAAATTTCACCCAATGGTGTTAGCATCTATTATTGAAAGCTACCTAAATGTTTTTACTAAGGGTTGAATAATGGTGAATCTATAATTATATTATTTATCCTGAATTTTTTAACTTGAATTCTTCTATAGAGAAAAACTTTTCCTTATCACTTATTTGGTTACCTTGAAATAAATTCCTGCAGAAATACAAAATAAATATTTTTTTCATTTATAGAAAATTTGAAGCCAGAAACACAAAAGAGTGTAGAGATTATACCAAATTATTTTTCAGAGTAGTTGTATCATTTTGTATCCATGAGAAATACTGCATAAGTGATCTGGTTATCCCTCATCCTCACCAACACAAGATATTAACAAACTGTTCTTTCCCACTGTAGTGAGTTATAAATGATCTCTCAATGTGGTTTTCATTTTTATTTACTTGATTATTTATTAGATTGGGTATCTTTTATTGGCTGTTCAGATTTTCTTTCTGTGAAGTACCTATTAAGATTTTTCCCTGTTATTTCAAGTGAGCTATTCTTTTTCTTGCAAATTATAAGATTCGTTTTATTTATTTTTGGATATTGATTAATCCTTTGCCTCTTATGTGTATTTCAAAATATCATCTCTCTGTGTGTAGTTCTTCTTCTTTTTTTTTTTTCATTGATTTTGATGGTCAGAAATCAGAAGTTCTGATAGTCATCTTAATGCATTTTAAACTTTACCTCTGCAGTTTGTGCTTTTGTATTTTGTTTAATAAACCCCATCCTTTTTGGAAGTCATAAATATACTGTCTTATAGGATATTATAGTTTTGCTTTTGATTTTATATCTTTAACTGCCCAGTATTAATATAGCATATGGTAGTTAGGCAGTTGTTATTAGGGGAAAAAGTCCCTTAGGTGTATGAAGTTCCATACTTAGTTTGATTCAGAACTAAAGCCAAAATTTAAAATTAAATATTTCATAAAGTCTCTATATCCTTACCTTTTAGCATGGTCTTTTATTCTATGCAGAGACAAACATTTTGTGGCTATGATTAGAATCTGGTCTTGCATTTTTACTGTGGAAAATATAAATGTCAATAGACAGCTGCTACTATTATGAAATGTAGCAGTAGAAAGGGCCCTGACCAAACTGGCAATCTTTTCAATTCAGCTTCCATCTTAACTATGTCTTTAAGATTCAGTACTTTCTTTTTGACACACTTGTGAGTAATTATAAGTGGATAGCAGGTTACAATTTCAAGTTCCTTCACACTTCCCTGTTGATATGGGCATGACAAGCATTATTCTTACCATCAGAGAGAGGAAAAGATAAAGAGTAAACCACTTACTAAAGTTCATAAGTGAAACACTGATGAGACAGGACAAGTTCTTCAGCATTCTAATTCACTGTTCACCTCTAGAACACTATTCCTGGTTTAAGCTTTTATATCCCAAGGACAACTGTACCATGTAGAATCACTTATAAGCTCCGCATATATTTGCATACATTTCCATGTTTATGCATGTGTTGAACAAAGATCTAAGGCTTGCCTATAGAGCTCTACCCATCCCTCAGATAGGATAATCAAGAGGAAATGAAAAACTTTTCTTTGTGTTTCTTTTTAGAGCTTCCATGAAATATTCATACCCTTGACCAGAAAATGACCTTAAATACTAAAGCTTTGAAAGGTATTATTGTCAAATTTCCCTTGAAGTCCCATTGTCTGTTTTATTAAAATGTTTAACGTTCCAAGCCCCTGAAGTTAGAATTATATGCACTTATCCTGTGCTTAAGTGCATTCTTCTGAAAGCATTCTGGTAACATATTGGCTGATTCTCAAGTTTAAAAAGGAAAAAATAAAGCAGTAAATGAACCCAGGGTTTCTACAAATAGTATTAAAATATTGCCTATTTTTAAAGTTATTAATGCTTTTCCAAATTCGAATATGGTGATTGTTCATTAGAATATTAGTTTAGTCTGTTCAGCAGATATTCACTGAATTTGAAAGAGGGGGAAATACTTTGAGCGAAAACCTACTAACTAAAGGAGACTTGCCGCAACTACCTAGCTCCTTGATACGCAAAGTATAGTCCATGAACCCACAGTGAAGCATCTCAGGTTCTCTTCCAACCACTGAGTTAGAATTAGTATATTAACATGATCCTCAATATTTCCATATGCTTATTTGTCTTAGTTTGTGCTGCTATAACAAAATACCACAGACTGTGTAATTTATAAACAATAGAAATTTATTTATCATGGTTTTGGAGGCTGGAAAATCCAAGACCAAGGTGCTGGCAGAATTGCCATTTGGTGAGGCCTCCTTTCTGCTTCCAAGATGGTGCCAGAAAAGGGCTTAAACTAGTTCCCTCCAATTTCTTTATAAGGCACTAATCCATTTCTGAGGCAGAAGTATCATGACTTAATCACTTTCCAAAAGCCCTACCACTTAATACACCAGTTTTAACATAAATTTTGGAGGGGACACATTCAAACCATAGCAATATTAAATTTTGAGAAGCATGCCCTAGACTGGTGCTCTCTAGTAGGGTAGCTACTACCCGCATATGGCCACCGAGTACTTGATGTATGGTTAACCTTGAATTAAGATGTACTGTGAGTGTAAAATGCACACTTGATTCTGAAGACTTCTCATAAAAATATAAAATGTCTTATTAGTAATTATTATTTCATGTTAAAATAATAATGTGATAGATATTTTGAGTTATAAAATACATTATTAAAATAATTTTACCTATTTCTTTTTATTTGTTTTTAATGCGACTACTAGAAAATTCAAAAATACATCTGTGGTTCACATTGCTGGCTCATATCGTATTATATCTCCATTAAGCAACACTCTTCTGGTCTACTTGTCCCCAACCCAGAGGCTCAATCTCACCCCAATCTTTAGAACCAGTACTAATCTTAGATAGGTATGATGTAAAAAGCCAGAAACCAGAGATCAGCAATTAGTCATTGGACCAGATCTGCCTGCAGAATTGTTTATTTGGCCTGCACAATTGTATGTAAAATTGTGTCAATGTTTCAGAAACAAAAAATTTCCCACAAAATATCTTGGACTTGAAATTTTCTTTAAACTTATAAGATCTCTCATCTTGCCGGGCGCGGTGGCTCACGCCTGTAATCCCAGCACTTTGGGAGGCCGAGGCGGGTGGATCACAAGGTCAAGAGTTCGAGACCACCCTGGCCAACATGGTGAAACCCCGTCTCTACTAAAAATACAAAAAAAAATTAGCTGGCCATGGTGGCAGGTGCCTGTAATCCCAGCTACTTGGGAGGCTGAGGCAGGAGAATCGCTTGAACCTGGGAGGCGGAGGTTGCGGTGAGCCAAGATCGCGCCATTGCACTCCAGCCTGGGCAAAAAGAGTGAAACTCTGTCTCAAAAAAAAAAAAAAAAAAGATCTCTCATCTCAACTGTCATCCAGAATTAAACTGCAGCTGCTTCCTCAGATGGGGCATATTTTTACTAGATTAACACAGACTTCACTAACCACATATAGTGATACCACCATCACCCTTGAGTTACTCATGCATAGTACCTGCTAGCTTCTTTTAGGCATTTGAGTTTGTGACTTCTGGTTTAAACTGCTATCTTAGATTCTAGAGGTCATATTTTCTGTTAGCCTAGTCATGATATTCTTTGCTCACCCACTACGTGTGAGTTTATTTCAGCCCTTGGTCTCCCTCAGGTTGTTCCATACCGTGGTTACAAGGTTGAACTGCGTCAGTCTGAGATGATTATGATGATGATTTAAAAACAATGATGATGTTAACTGAGCACTTACTGTGCATAGTACTAATTAATAACTAAAGCACTGTACTAAATAATTTATATATTACATATTATATATAAATATTATATATTACATTTATAAATATTATATTATATATAATATTTCATTTTCTCTTTACAACAACCTTATAGGTTAGGGACCTGATATGGTTTGGCTGTGTCACCACCCAAATCTCATCTTGAATTGTAATCCATATAATCCTCACATGTCACGGGAGGGACCTGATGGAAGGTAATTGAATCATGGGGGCAGTTTTCTCCATACTGTTCTCAGGATAGTGAGTGAGTTCTCACAAGATCTGATGGTTTTATAAGCAACTGGCATTTCCCCTGCTGGCACTCATTCTCTCTCCTGCTTTCCTGGGAAGAGGTGCCTTCTGCCATGATTGTAAGTTTCCTGAGGCCTCCCCAGCCATGTGGAACTGTAAGTTAATTAGACCTCTTTTCTTTATAAACTTCCCAGTCTTGGGTGTTTCCTTATAGCAATATAATAATGGACTAATACAAGACCTTTTTCACATTTTAACACTTAAAAAACCTGTATCATTAAAGTGTTAGCTGGCTTAACCAAAGTTATATACAGACACATACATATGTACAACCAGAAATCCAGGACCAAACAGAGATCACTGCCATTATTTTTTTTAATTCAGTACATTATTCCATTTAAGACTTTGACATGTAAAGATGTCACTTTTGACCTCAAATCCATATCCCAATCCTTCCCAGGTCATATTTTTTTTTGTCAGAAGTGTGTCTCCTGTGACAAGACCTAATTTAGGAATATTTTTCAGAACTTTAAGCAATCCTGCTGTCCACAGTTAAGACTAGGAAATTTTGGCCATCCTGTACCCACCCTTGCCACTTCCTTCTTTCATTGAGCTTGGCAGAAAACACCCCTTTGTACTTAACCAGGCTTTCATTTTCAGTCACTGTGAGTAAGAATTATAGTGTCCCCACAGCTTTGTGTGTGGAAGAGCTCTGAACAGAATTAAAAGTGACCTGTAATTGTGGTTTCAGCCTAAAAGTCTTTAGGGAAACATTGGCCCTGACTTGTTGAACCTCAGTTATGTCCCAGGATACTTTTAGAATCTACTCATATCCTCTGAACTGTGGTTCAAAAAAATTTTGTAATATCTACTTGGAATTCTTTTACAGATAAATTTAATTTTCCAATACTTAACTCATTTTAGCTTCTCTTTATTCCAAGCTAAATATTAAGTACTGTCTCTCATGGAAAATTCAGAAATAGAGCAGAGATCCCAAAAGCCATATACTGTGCATATAACCCATAAACTAGGACTAACAATTCCTACTGAATCCTTACTAGAGTATCTGTCTGTGTCATCTAATGACAGAAATTATTCATGCACAGTTTGGTCCATTGCTTTAAAAGAAAAAGTCAGAATCCCAGAGCAATCACTTGGTAGTTTCTTTAGTTGTCTAGAATGTGTTTCCTTGAAGATTGTGTCTCTGGATAAACCTTAAGTGAATAATTAGAGATCTCACAAAACCTCTAGTTTATTGACACTGACTGTGGTTAAGACAGGATTACTCTACATAAGATTTTTTCCAACTTTTTAAAATTTTTGGTCAAAAATACACAACATAAAATTTCAGTTTAACCGTTTAAAGTGTACAGTTGAGTGACATTAAATACATTCAAATTTTTGTGCAACTTTTTCAACTTTTTATTATTAATTTTTTTTAAGTTTTGGAAAAGTTCAAAGAATAGTACAATGAAGGCTAATATACTCACAACCTAGACAAAACAATTGTTAACATTTTTCCAAACTTGCTTCAATTCTCTTTTGGTATTTTGGTGTGTGTTTATTTGTGTCTATGTTTGTACTATTTGAAAGTAGCTTACAGATTTCACCTTAAAATATTTCATCTTGCGTCTCATGAGTATAAGGACATCCTCCTACATAACATCACCATTATTTTAGATAAAAATTCATAATTATTTTCTACTGTCATCTAATGTTTAGCTCATATTTAAATTTTCTTAAGTATGTCCAAAATGTATTATAGCTACTTGTGTGAATCATCATTCAATGTATAAAAATTACATTGCTTGTGTCTCTTTACTGTCCTTTTCTTTAAAAGAGCACCTCTCTCCATACTTCCCAGCCAAATATTCTTTTCTTTGTGATGACATTGACGTTTTAAAAACACAGGACCCTTGTCTTTTAGATTGTTCCACATTCTGAACTTGTCTGATTGTTTCCTTGTGGTAATATCTGACTCATTTCTCTTATCTGTGTATTTTCTTTATACTGGGAGATAACTCTAAAGGCTTCATTTTGTTCAGTATAAATATTTCTTTTAGACAAGAACTTCTCCATTACATATTGCATCATATCAGGAAGCACCTAATGTCAAGTTGTCTCATTATCAGTGATGCTCAGTTTGACCTGTTGGTTAAAGAAGACTTGCTATATCATTCCTCTAAAAAGATATATTTTCCTTTTTTAACAAAATTTAATACCTAAACTAGTATGAAATAACTTTTGTGTATTTATGTAAGCCTACTTGTTTTTCTGTTTTTTTCTTTAAAATTTACATTTTACAAGAAAGTATATTAGTAGCAAATTAACTTTGCTTTCCACAGTTATTTTCATTTAATTTTCTAAATTAGAAGAAAGGATAGTACTTGTGAAAACAGAATTTAAGTAGAGTTAAAGCTGTAAGTGGAGCTTGCAGGAATTGTACACAACTTTCAATGTAGAAATAAGCTATGCACCAAAATTAAATTGTTTATTGTTTAGAACTCAGAATCATTTTCCTTGAGATATTGTCTTATCAGAGATAGTTTGTCAGGTCATGTCACAAATTTTCAAACCCATTATTTCCATGGAAAACTTAATTTTATTTTATGTGGCAAAAATAAACTTGAGGACATTAAATAAATATTTCTACTGTCCTATAGCTTCCCTATCTCATCTCTTATGATGACTGTATCATTTGGGTTAATAAAAGAAATAAGGATGCACCATGATCATTATTCTTTAGATAACATTTCCATGGGCACCACACAATAAAATCACTAAGGTAAATGATGCTTCAGGGGACACATTTCACCCTCTGGGGCATCAGGAAATATCAGTTCCTATTCTTGGAGTACATGTAACTCAGTATATTTCAGGAAGAATTTGTGCAGTGGTCCAACATTAGCAACTTCAGTAGCCCTATAAGTCTAGTGATAATTGGAAATCTAAAATCTAGAGATGCTTAAGTACAAACCCCACAAATGAAGAGAGAAATAATTAGCTTGCTTATGGACAACAGGGTAGATGTAACAAAAATGGGACTAGATCTTAGGTCTCCTAATCCCTAGTCCAATTTTTTTTTAACATTCCAGCATGCTGTATATTTATCTATTCTTTGATTGCCTGACCATTACACATTAGAAGAATTACATGTTAATTTAGCTGTAGAAGTGACAGTATAATGTTAACTTGTTGGTTACTTGGATCTAAAAATCTCATCTCTGTATTTTCATTTGTTTTTAACACTCGGCATTTTTACTTTCAATCGAAATTTATGTTTAATTTTTATTTATTTTTTACATATTATTTTTAAAGAGTGTGAGTGAAGCAGATAAGCCCTCAAGATGTGTAATTTTAATTAATGAACATACTTTACAATCTGTTAACATGTGTATGCACCACTGTGCCAAAATTTAATGAAATGGGTTAATGGCACTTATTAAAGTTGTTCGGCTTCTCTAGTCATAACACAGAATTCAACCTTTTCCTCCATTTCTTATATTCAAATAAATAAAGTGATAAATGAGTCTAAGCATGAAAAGTCAAGTCAGTCAGAATGCCTACATACCTTCTTATTATTTCCTATAATCTGTCTTTACTATCATTCATGCATTTGGAGGTCTACAAAGTCAGACCTTTGGGATTCTATTGTTTAAATTCCAGGATAAACTGAGTACCAAAGTCCTTTGACTGTGATGCACTGTCAAGAAAGTTCAGAAAATGAACATAAAAAATGAAGAATGGGAAAAAGAAATGAGGAAAGAAAGGAGAAACAGGAGGAGGGAAGCGGGGAGAAAGGGGGGGAGAGAATCTATTCAAACAAGAAAGGAAGGAGGGAAGAGAGGATGGAAATGGCTTGAAGTTCATGAAAACACCTCCAAATTAGGAAGTCTTCTTGAATGCCTTTTGTATAAATACATGAAATGAGTTCATTTAAATAAGAATTATTGCTTTGAGAGAAGGTGGGGGAATGTCAGCAAGACAGAAAAGTAGAAAGCCATAGCTTTTATTTCTCCAGAAAAAAAAAATGTCAATATAACAACAGTATTAGTACCAAAATATTTTGAGGAGAAATTCAGAATGCGGTTAAGAAATATAATCGTCCAGGTGTAGTGGCTCACGCCTGTAATCCCAGCACTTTGGGAGGCCGAGGCGAGCAGATCACAAGGTCAGGAATTTGAGACCAGCCTGGCCAATATGGTGAAATTCCATCTCTACTAAAAAAAAATTAGCCAGATGTGGTGGTGGGTGCCTGTAGTCTCAGCTACTTGGGAGGCTGAGGCAGGAGAATCACTTGAACCCAGGAGGCGGAGGTTGCAGTGCGCCAAGATCACACCACCGTACTCCAGGCTAGGTGACAGAGCGAGACTCCGTCTCAAAAAATAAAATAAAATAAAATAAAATAAAATTAAATTAAATTAAAATTTTAAAAAGATGAAATTTTACTTTATCCATGTGGGTTCTTCCCCAAAACAATCTTAGTTTAACACTGAGAAGCTTGCCTTAGTACATGATTTCTCCTATAGTGGGGAAAGTGAGATTGCAGTGTGTGCCTGGCCACCTAGCCTCCTGCCTTTGCAGGGTGCCCTTCTTGCAGCTGGATTCTTTTTGGCCTCGTACTGAGCACTGAACCACCTGTAGATGCCAGTCCTCTAAACAACTAGAAATAAAGGAAAGAGAAGAGAATTCCCTCACAGCCAGCATTGCTATTCAAGATAAGGAAAAGGCACAGAACTGAGGTTGTATCTCTAGGAGGAAAGGAAGAAAGTGAAGGGAATTCTATTGCAGGCATTTCAGAACCCTCTATGGAGTGAGGTTCTTTCTCATCTCATACTAAATGCTGAAGGACTGGCAGAGCCCAGTTCCAAGGAAAGGGGAGGGCAGCCCCTAACAGCTCTGTGAGATTGGAAATAAGGTGCATAACAGAGGTTCTTCCTCCAGAAAAGACAGAAAGAAGTGAAGGGGCCTTATCTCCTGCAACTCAGAGTGCCCTCCATGGAGCCAGTTTCTATCTTGCATCATAACAAGCACTGAATAACCAGCAGAGCTCAATCCCTGGAAAGGTATGCAACAAAGAAAGGAGACAAACATCGTCTTATAGCTGGCACTGCTCTATAAAATTGGAAAAAGCACAGAACTGAGGCTTTTCCTCCAGGGGGAAGAAAGTTTCCAGTAAGTTTCCAGCCTTACAGTGTGCTCCTTGTTGAGTTGGCCTCTATCTTGCCTCATATTAGGCACTATTGACCAGTGTGTATGCCTCTCTGAGTCTGGACTAGTACATAAAGCTTGGAAGAGGTATCTGCTTCTTTAAATGTACAGACAACAAAGTAAACCTACAAGGAATATGAAGAATTAAGAAAACATAACAAAATTTAAATAAGAAAACAATTTTTTAGTAACTAACCCAAGATAAATGGAGATCTGTGAATTGCAAAAGAATTCAAAATAATCATCTTAAAGGTGCTCAGTGAGTTACAAGAGAACGTGGATAGACAGCTGAACATAATCTGGAAAACAATAGATGAAATGTATGAGAAATTCAATAAGGAGATAGAAATGATGAAAAAGAATTAACCAGAAATTTTGAGGCAGAGGAACACCATAACCAAAATGAAAAATTTACTAGAGGCCTCAACAGCAGATTTTATCAGGCAGAATAAAAAATCAGTAGGTTTAAAGACAGGTTATTTTAAATTGTTCCATCAGAGGAGCAAAAAAAAAGAATGAAAAAGACTGAAGAAAGCCTAAGAAACTTATGCAGCTCTGCCAAGAGAATCAATATACGTGTTATGGAAGTTATAGAAGGAGAATAGAGATAAAAATTGGTAGAAAGTGATTTAAAGCAATAATGATGGAAAACATCCTCAGTCTCAAAAAGGAAATGGAAAGCTAGATTCATGAAGGCCAAAGGAACCCAAATAGGTTGAATTTAAAGAAGTCTACATAAAGATACATTGTAATCAAATTATAAAAGTCAAAGGAAAAGCAAAGTTCAAAGTGGTAAGTAAGGCCGGGCGCAGTGGCTCACTCCTGTAATCCCAGCACTTTGGGAGGCCGAGGCGGGCGGATTACGAGGTCAGGAGATCGAGACCATCCTGGCTAACACGGTGAAACCCCGTCTCTACTAAAAGTACAAAAAATTAGCCGGGCGCGGTGGCAGGCGCCTGTAGTCCCAGCTACTCCGGAGGCTGAGGCAGGAGAATGGCGTGAACCCGGGAGGCGGAGCTTGCAGTAAGCCGAGATAGCGCCGCTGCACTCAGGCTTGGGCAAAAGAGCGAGACTCCGTCTCAAAAAAAAAAAATTGAAAAAAAAAGTGGTAAGTAAAAAGTGTCTCATTACATACAAGATAATCACCATAAGACTATAAGTATACCTCTCAGCAGAAACTTTGTAGCACAGAAGAAAATGAGATAATATATTCAAAATATTAAAAGAGAAAAAACTGCCAACCAAAAATAATATACGAGCAAAGCTATCCTTCAGAAATGAAGGAGAGAGAAAAACTCTAAAACAAAAATTGAGAGAGCTCATTACAAGACCTGCCTTATTAGAAATGCTAAAGGGAATTCTTCAAGATGAAGAGGACACAAATAGATGCTGATTAGAAGCATGAAAATACATAAAATTATAAATCTCATTGCTTAAAATAAGGATATAGATAAAATATAATAATGGTGATGCATAAATCATGTTCAATTCATATAAAAGTTAAAAGACAAATGCATAACAATATAACTACAATAATTTGCTAATAAATATACAATATTAAAAGTTATACATTTTGACTCTAATAACATTAAGCATATGAGAGGAATGAAGAAGAAAAGTTGAGAGTTTTTGTATGTGATTGAACTTAAGTTCTTATCATGTGAAAATGGACTGTTATAACTAAAGATGGCATATATTAGCCTCACGGTAAACACAAATTAAACCTGTGCAAGATACAGAAAATATAAAGAGAAGGAATCAAAGCATACCACTATAAAAATCATGAAATCATAAAGAAAAACAGCAAGAGAAGAAGAAAGGAACAAAGAAACTACAAAATGTTCAGAAAACAACAAAATGACAATTAAAAGTCCTCCCTATCAATAATTACTATATATGTAAATAGTTAAATTTCCCAATCAAAAAAGTGGATGAAAGGATAAGAAAACATTATCCAACCATATGCTGCCTACAAACGACTCAGTTTACCTTTAAGGACACAAATAGGCTGAAAATGAATACATTTTCATGAAAAAAATGTTACATAAAGTAATAATTAAAAGAGAGCAGGAGTGTCTAATCTTATATTAGACAAAATAGACTTTATATAGAAAATTTTCACAAGGGATAAAGAAGTTCATAATAGAGTGATACAGAAGCGAATTAAGAGGATATAATTTTTTAAAATATGCACTCAGAGCTCTTAAATATATGAACCAAATATCAACAGATTTGAAGGGAGAGATAGCAATACAATAATAATAGAGGACTTCAATAGTCCACTTTTTTGTTTGTTTGTTTGTTTGTTTGTTTTTACTTTTATTTTAAGTTCAGGGGTACACGTGCAGGATGTGCAGGGTTGTTACATGTGTCATGGAGGTTTGTTGTACCAATTATTTCATCACCCAGGTATTAGGCCTGGTACTCAATAGTTATTTTTTCTGATCCTCTCCCTTTTCCCACCCTTCACCCTCCAGTATGCACTGGTGTGTGGTGTTCCCTTCTATGTGTCCATGTGGTCTCGTCATTTAGCTCCCACATATAAGTAAGAACATGAGGCAATTCTCCACTTTCAACAATGTACAGATAAAACAAAAATTCAGAAAGAAAACAGCAGACTTGAACAACACTATAGGTCAACTTTCCAACAGCAGCAGAATACACATTCTTCTCAAGTGCACAAGAAATATTCTTCAGGATAGATCATGTCAGGCCACAGAAGTGTCTCAATAAATTTTTTAAAATTGGATCAAGTTTCTTGTTCAAGCACAATATTATGAAACTAGATATAAATAGGAATAACTTTGGAAAAACCCACAAATAAGTGGAATATTAACAACACACTCCTGAAAACCAACAGGTAAAAGAATAAACCAAAAGGGAAATTTAAAAATGTCTTTAGACACATTTAAATGGTAATACACCATACCCAAATTTATGGGATGCAGCAAAAGCAGTTCCAAAAGTGTGTAGCAATAAACACCTACATTCAGAAAAAACAAAATATTTCAAATAACCTAACTTTACACATAGCAGAGGAAGAAAATAATAAAGAAAATTATAAAATAATAAAAATAATAAATTATATAGCGAATACCAAAAAAAAAAAAAATAGAAAAGAGCAACGAAACTAAGAGCTAATTTTTTATAAAAAATAAAATAAACAAAGTTGACATTCCTTTAGCTAGACCAAGAAATAAAGGAGAGAGGGTGGAGCAAGATGGCAGAATAGAACCCTGCATCATTCATCACCCCCATTCACTGGAACACCAAATTTTAACAAGTATCTTCACACATAAAAGCACAATCACAACTGTTAACAATTGTCACAAGAACCAAAACTCCGATAAGCAATCGCAGTATGTGGTTTTAATTTCTTATCGCTAAAAGAAGCATGGAAGAGGCTCAGAGAGACAGTCTTAATTGCCACCAGCATCCCTCCCCCATACCCCAGCAACAGTAATACCACTCAGAGAATCTGTGAGCTTTGGGGAGGGAGAGTTTAGTGACTGGGTGACTTTACATTGAACTCAGTGCTGCCCTATCACACGCAGCAGATAATAAGGACTTGCTGGGCTCAGCCAGTGCCCACACATGGAGGGAGTATTTGGACCAGCCCTAGCCAGATGGCAATTGCCCATCCCAGCAATTGGAACCTGACTTTCTCATCAGGCTCCACTACTACAAGCTGAAGTGCTCTGGGATTTTAGATAAACTTGAAAGGCAGTCTAGGACACAAGGACTGCAATCAATTCCTAGGCAATTCCTAGTGCTAGATTAGGCTTAGAGCCAGTGAACTACTGCGGAATGTGACCTAGGGAGACACAAGATGTTGCAGCTATGGGAATGCCTGCACCATCCCTATCCTAATCCTGGGCAGTGCAGCTCACAGCAACAAAAGTGACTCCTTCCTCCTGCCCAAGGTCAGGAGAGAGAAAAGAGGACTTTGTTTTGCAACTTGGGTACCAGCTCAGTCACAGTGGGATAGGGAAACAGGCAGAGTCCTGAGGCCTCCATTCCAGGTTCTACCTCCTAGATGACATTTCAAGACACACCCTGGGCCAAAAGGGAACTAGGTACCTTGAAGGGAAGGACCCAGTCCTTGAAGGATTCATCACCTGCTGACTAAACAGTCCTTGGGCTGTGAATAACCAAAAGTGATACTCAGGGAGTATGCTATGGGGCTTGGGCACTGAGAAGTTCTGACTTCAGGGGTGACCCAACACATTCCCAGCTGTGGTGGCTACTGTGAAAGACTCCTTCAGAGGGAAAACTAAAGGGGATTTTGCCATGCACTTTAGGTACCAGCTCATCCACAGTGAGGTAGAGCAACAAGCAGGACCTTGGTGTCCCTGAGTCCAGGCCTATCCTCTTGGACAGCATTTCTGGACCTGCCCTGGGCCAGAGGGGAGCCCACTGCCTTGAAGGGTGAGTCCCAGGCCTGGTAACATTCACCACAAGCTGACAAAAGAGCCCTTGGGTTTTAAGTGAACATCAGTGGTGGCCTGGCAGAACACCCCACGGACTAGTGGTGGTAATGGGCACAGGGAGTGGCTCCTCTGCCTGTGGAAATGGGAAGGAAGAGCAGGAATCACTTTTTATTGTGGTTTGAGTGCTAGCTTAACCACAGTAGAATAGAATATCAGGTAAATTGCTAAGGTTTTTACTCCAATTCCTGGCTCCCAGACAGCATTTCTGAATGTGCCCAGGGCCTGGGGAAACTCTTTACTTTCAAGTGAAGGGCTTCGGGCAAAGCCCAGTTTTGTTCTTGCTTCAGATCTAACCCAGCACAGTTCCAATGATGGTGGCCACAGAGGTGCTTGCATCACCACACCCACAGTTCCACATAGTGCGACACAGAGAGAAACTTCATTTGTTTGAAAGAAAGTTAGGGAAAAACACAAGAGTCTCTGCCTGGTAATCCAGAGAATGTTTCCAGATTTTATCCAAGACCACCAACACAGTACCTGTTTGAGCCTGTAAAAATCACAGCACGATTGGGCTTGGGGCCCAAGTCCCTTTAAATATTTGGAAAGCCTTCCCAAAGAGGACAAGCACAAACAAGCCCAGACTATGAAGACAACAATAAATAATTAACTCATCAATGCCAAGGCACTGATGAGCATCTACAAGCATCAAACCATCCAGGAACACGTAACTTCACCAGTATAAATAAGGCATCAGGGACCAATCCTGGAGAAATAGACATATATGACCTTTCAGACAGATAGTTCAAAATGGCTGTTAGGAGAAAACTCGAAGAAATTCAAGATAACCCAGAGAAGTTTAGAATCATATATCAGATAAATTTAACAAAGAGATTGAAATAATTGCAAAGAATCAAGCAGAAATTCTAGAGTTTAAAAATGCAACTGACATACTGAAGAATGTATCAGAGTCTCTTAATACTAGAATTGATCAAGCAGAAGAAAGTATTAGTAAGCTTGAAAATAGCCTATTCGAAAATACACAGTCAGAGGAGACAAAAGAAAAAAAATAAACAATGAAGCATACCCATGGAATCTAGAAAATAGCCCCAAAAGGGTAAATCTAAGAATTATTGGCCTTAAAGAGGAGGTAGACAAAGAGATAGGAGTAGAAAATTTATTCAAATGGATAATATCAGAGAACGTCCCAAACCTAGAGAAATATCAACATTCAAGTACAAGAAGGTTATGGAACATTATGCAGATTTAACCCAAAGAAGACTACCTAAAGACATTTAATAATCAAACTCCCAAAGGTCAAGGATGAAGAAAGAATCCTAAAAGCAGCAAGAGAGAAGAAACAAACAACATACAATGGATCTGTAATACCTCTGGAAGCAGACTTCTCAGTGGAAACATTAGGGGCCAGGATAGAGTGGTATGACATATTTAAAGTGCTGAAAGAAAAAAAATACCCTTGAAGAGTATAGCTGGTGAAAATATCCTTCAAGCATGAAGGAGAAATAAATAACTTCCCAGAAAAACAAAAGCTGAGGGATTACATCAACACAAGACCTGTCCTAGAAGAAATGCTAAAGAGAGTTCTTCAATCTGAAAGAAAAGGATGTGAATGAGCAAGAAGAAATCAACTGAAGGTTAATAACTCACTGGTAATAGTGAGCACATAGAATAATACAGAATTATGTAACACTGTAATTGTGGTATAAATTACTCTTAAGTAGAAAGACTAAATTATGAACTAATTAACCATGAAAACTACAACAACTTTTCAAGACATAGTGCAATAAGACATAAGGAGAAATAGAAAAAGTTAAAAAGTGGGAGGATGAAGTTAAGGTGTAGAGTTCTCATTAGTTTTCTTTTTGCCTGTTTGTATATAATCCGTATTAAGTTGTCATCAGCTTAAAATAATGGGTTATGAGACAGTATATGCTAGCCTCATGGTAACCTCAACCAAAAATCATACAATGGGCATATAAAAAAATAAAAAAATAGGAAAGTAAAGTATATCACCAGAGAAAAATCACCTTCACCAAAATGTAGACAAGAAGGAAGCAAGGAAAGAAGAAAGAGAAGACCATTAAGCAACCAGAAAACAAATAACAAAATGGCAAGAGTAAGTCCTTATTTATCAATAATATCATTGAATGTAAATGGACTAAATTCTGCCATCAAAAGACATAGAGTGGCTGCATGGGTGAAAAAACAAGGGTCAACGATCCGCTGCCTACAAGAAACACACTTCACATACAAAGATACAGATAGACTGAAAATAAAGGGATGAAAAAAGATATTCCATGCTAACGGAAACCAAAAAATGATCAGGAGTAGTTATACTTATGTTGAACAAAATAGATTTCAAGAAAAAAGTGTGAGACAAAGAAGATCATTATTTAATGATAAAGGGATCAATTTGGCAAGATAATTTAATGATTGGAAATATATGTGCACCCATCACCAGATATATAAAGCAAATATTATTAGAGGCAATGAGATAGATCCCAATACAATAATATCTGGAGACTTCAACATCCTACTTTCAGCATTGGACAGATCTCCCAGGCAGAAAATCAACAAGGAAACATCGGACTTAACCTCTACTATAAAACAAATGTGCCTAATAGATATTTACAAAATATTTCATTCAATGGCTGAAGAATACACATTCTTCTCCTCCTCTCATGGATCATTCTCAAGAATAGACCATATGTTAGGTCACAAAACAAGTATTTAAATTTTCAAAAAAATTGAAACAATATCAAACATGTTCTGAAACCACAATGGAATAAAACTAGAAATCAATAACAAGAGGAATTTTTGGAAACTATACAAACACATTGAACATTAACAATATGTTTCTGAATGACCAATGAATCAGTGAAATAATTAAGAAGGAAGTTGAAAATTTTCTTGAAACAAATAATAATGGAAACACGACATGCCAAAACCTGTGGGATACAGCAAAAGCAGTATTCAGAGGGAAGTTTATACCTATAAGTGCCTAAGCAAAAAAAAAAAAAAAAAAAAAAGAGGGAAAACTTCAAATAAACTACCTAACAATGCATCTTAAAGAACTAGAAGAACAAGAGCAAACAAAACCCTAAATTAGTAGGGAAGAAATAACAAAGATCAAAGCAAAAATAAACGAATTTGAAATGAACAAAACAATACAAGAGATCAACAAAATAAAAGTTTTTTTTTAAAGATTAACAAAATTGACAAACCTTTAGCCAGACTAAGAAAAAGAGAGAGAAGCCTCAAATAAATAAAATCATAGATGAAAAAGAAGACATTTCAACTGATACTGCAGAAATTCAAAGGAACATTAGTGGCTACTATGAGCAAATATATGCCTATACATTGAAAAACCTACAAGAAATGAATACATTTCTAGACATATATGACCTACCAAGATTGAATCAGGAAGAAATCCAAAACCTCAATAGACCGATAATAAGTAACAAGATTGAAGGTGAAATAAAAATTTCCCAAAGAAACGCCTGGGACCCAATGGCTTTACTGATGAATTTTACCAGAAATTTAATAGAGAACTACTACCAATCCTGTTCAAACTATTGTGAAAAATAGAGGAAGACAGAATACTTCCAAACTTATTCTACAAAGCCAGCATTACCCTAATACCAAAACCAGACAAAAACATATCTAAAATGGAAAACTGCAGGCCAATATCTCTGATGAATATAAATACAAAAATTCTCAACAAAATACTCGCAAACCAAATTCAAAAATACATTAAAAAGATCATTCATCATGACCAAGTAGGACTCATCCCAGGGATGCAAGGATGGTTCAACATATGCAAATCAGTCAGTGTAATACCTCATATCAACAGAATGAAGGACAAAAAACATATAGTCATTTCAATTGATGCTGAGAAAGCATTTGATAAATGTCAACACCTCTTAATGATAAGAATCCTCAAAGAACTAGGAATAGAATGAACATACCTCAATGTAATAAAACCCATATATGTCAGATCCACAGCTAATATCATACTGAATGAGGTAAAACTGAAATCCTTCCCTTCCCTCTTATATCAGGAACATGATAATGATGTTATTTTCCCCACTACTATTCAAAATAGTACTGGAAGTCCTAGCCATAATACTTAGACAGGAGGAAGAAATAGAGGGCATCCAAACTGGAATGGAAGAAGTCAAATTATCTTTGTTGGTAGTTGATATGATCTCATACTTGGAAAAACCTAAAGACTCCACAAAAAGCTGTTAGAACCAATAAACAAATTCAATAAAGTTGCGTGATACAAAATCAACATATAAAAATCAGGAGCATTTTTATATACCAACAGTGAACAATCTAAAAAAGAAATAAAAAAGTAATCCCATTTACAATAGCCACAAATAAAAGAAAATACCTAGGAATTAATTTACCCAAATAAATGAAACATCTATACAATGAAAACCTATAAAAGACTGATGAAAGAAATTGCAGAGATCCAAGTCTTTGCTATTGTGAATAGTGCCGCAATAAACATACGTGTGCATGTGTCTTTATAGCAGCATGATTTATAGTCCTTTGGGTATATACCCAGTAATGGGATGGCTGGGTCAAATGGTATTTCTAGTTCTAGATCCCTGAGGAATCGCCACACTGACTTCCACAATGGTTGAACTAGTTTACAGTCCCACCAACAGTGTAAAAGTGTTCCTATTTCTCCACATCCTCTCTAGCACCTGTTGTTTCCTGACTTTTTAATGATTGCCATTCTAACTGGTGTGAGATGGTATCTCATAGTGGTTTTGATTTGCATTTCTCTGATGGCCAGTGATGATGAGCATTTCTTCATGTGTTTTTTGGCTGCATAAATGTCTTCTTTTGAGAAGTGTCTGTTCATGTCCTTCGCCCACTTTTTGATGGGGTTGTTTGTTTTTTTCTTGTAAATTTGTTTGAGTTCATTGTAGATTCTGGATATTAGCCCTTTGTCAGATGAGTAGGTTGCGAAAATTCTCTCCATTTTGTAGGTTGCCTGTTCACTCTGACGGTAGTTTCTTTTGCTGTGCAGAAGCTCTTTAGTTTAATTAGATCCCATTT